>NC_000012.12:27848125-28000820 GCF_000001405.40 Homo sapiens
TTGTTTGGAATAGTTTCAGAAGAAATGGTACCAGCTCCTCTTTCTACCTCTGGTAGAATTCAGCTGTAAATCTGTCTGGTCCTGGGCTTTTTTTGGTTGATAGCCTATTTATTACTCAATTTCAGAACTCATTATTGTTCTATTGAAGAAGGGATTCAACTTCTTCCTGGTTCAGTCTTGGGAGAGGGTTTGCATACAGAAATGTATCCATTTCTTCCAGATTTTCTAGTTTATGTGCATAGAGGTGTTTACAGTATTCTCTGATGGTTGGTTGTATTTCTGTGGGGTCAGTGGTGACATCCCATTTATCACTTCTGATTGTGTCTATTTGATTCTTCTCTCTTTCCTTGTTTATTAGTCTAGCTAGTGATCTATGATGGTTAGCATTGAGTGTCAACCTGATTGGATTGAAGAATGCAAAGTATTGTTCCTGGGTGTGTCCCTGTGGGTGTTGCCAAAGGATTAACATTTGATTCAGTGGACTGGGAGAGGCAGACCTACCCTGAATCTGGGTGGGCACCATCTAATCAGCTGCCAGTGTGGCTAGAATAAAGCAGGCAGGAGAAGATGGAAGGGCACACTTGCTGAGTCTTCAGGCCTTCATCTTTCTCCCATGCTGGATGCTTCCTGCCCTTGAATATTAGACTCCAAGTTCTTCAGCTTGGACTTATACCAGTGGTTTGCTAGGGGGCTCTCAGGTCTTTGGCCACAGACTGAAGGCTGCACTGTTGGCTTCCCTACTTTTGAGGTTCTGGGACTTTGACTGATCCACCACTGGCTTCCTTGCTCCTCAACTTGCAGACGACCTACTGTGGGACTTTACCTTCTGATTGTGTGAGTCAGTTCTCCTTAATAAACTCACTTTCATATATACATATATCCTATTAGCTCTCTCCCTAGAGAAAACCCTAATACACAGTCTATTTTATTAATTTTTTCAAAAAACCAGATCCTGGATTTACTTATTTTTTGAAGGGTTTTTCATGTCTCTATCTCCTTCAGTTCCATCCTGATCTTGGTTATTTCCTATCATCTGCTAGCTTTGGGGTTTGTTTGCTCTTAGTTCTCTAGTTGTTTAGTTGTGATGTTAGATGTCAATTTGAGATCTTTCTAGCTTTTTGATGTGGGCATTTAGTGCTATAAGTTTTCCTCTTAACACTGCTTTAGCTTCATCCCAGAGATTCTGGTACATTGTCTCTTTGTTCTCATTAGTTTCAAAGAACTTGTTGATGTCTGCCTTAATTTCATTATTTACCCAGGAGTCATTCAGGAGTAGGTTTTTCGATTTCCATCCAGTTATGTAGTTTTGAGTGAGTTTCTTAATCTTGAGTTCTAATTAGATTGCTCTGTGGTCTGAGAGACTGTTATAATTTCAGTGTGGTTTTTTTTTTTTTTTTTTGCATTTCCTGAGGAGTGTTTTACTTCTGATTATGTGATCAATTGTAGAGTAAGTGCCATGTGGCACTGAGGAGAATGTATATTGTGTTGTTTTTGGGTGGAGAGTTCTGTAGGTATCTATCAGGTCCACTTGATCTAGAGCTGAGTGCAGGTCCTGAATACCTTTGTCAATTTTCTGTCTTGACGATCTAATATTGACAGTGGGGTGTTAAAGTCTCCGACTACTATTGTGTGGGAGTCTAAGCCTCTTTGTCAGTCTCTAATAACTTGTTTTATGAATCTGGGTTCTCCTGTAATGGGTGCATATATATTTAGGATAGTTAGCTCTTGTTGAATTGAACCCTTTACCATTATGTAATGCCCTTCTTTGTCTTTTTTTACCTTTGTTGGTTTAAAGTCTGTTTTGTAAGAAACTAGGATTGCAACCCGTGCTTTTATCTGTTTTCCATTTTCTTGGTAAATTTTCCTTAATCCTTTTATTTTGAGACTATGTGACCTTGCATGTGAGATGGGTCTCTTGAATACAGCACGCTGATGGGTCTTGACTCTTTATCCAGCCTGCCATTCTGTGTCTTTTAATTGGGGCATTTAGCCCATTTCCATTTAAGGTTAATATTGTAATGTGTGAATTTGATCCTGTCATCATGATTCTAACTGGTTATTTTGCAGACTTGTTTATGTAGTTGCTCCATAGTGTTATTGGTCTGTGAACTTCAGTGTGTTTTTGTAGTGGCCAGAACATTTTTTCCTTTCCACATTTAGTGCTTCCTTCAGGAGCTTTTGCAAGGTGGACCTGGTGGTGATGAATTCCCTTGGCATTTGCTTGTCTGAAAAGGATTTTATTTCTCCTTTGCTTATGATGCTTAGCTTGGCCAGATATGAAATTCTGAGTTGGAAATTCTCTTTTTTAAGAATGTTGAATATTGGCTTCCAATCTCTTCTGGCTTGTAGGATTTCCACTGAGAGGTCCACTGTTAGTCTGATAGGCTTCCCTTTGTAGGTTACCTGGCCTTTCTCTCTGGCTGTCCTTAACATTTTTTTCCTTCATTTCAACCTTGGAGAATCTGATGATTATGTGTCTTGGGGTTGATCTTCTAATGGAGTATCTTACTGGAGTTTTCTGGATTCCCTGAATTTGAATGTTGGCCTGTCTTGCTAGGTTGGGGAATTTCTCCTGGATGATATCCTGAAATATGTTATCCAATTTGGTTCCATTATCCTTGTTTCTTTCAGGTACCCCAATCTGTCATAGGTTTGGTCTTTTTATATAATCTCACATTTCTTGGAGGTTTTGTTTATTCCTTTTTATTCTTTTTTCTCTAATCTTGTCTGCCTGTCTTATTTCAGGAAGACAGTCTTCAAGCTTTGAGATTCTTTCCTCCACTTGGTCTATTTGGCTATGGACACTTGTGATTGCATTGTGAAGTTCTCCTATTGTGTTTTACAGCTCCATCAGGTCATTTATGTTTCTCTATCAACTGGTTATTCTAGTTAACAGCTCCTGCAATCTTTTACCATGGTCTTAGCTTCTTTGCATTGGGTTAGAACATAATCCTTTAGCTCAGCGAAGTTTGTTATTACCCACTTTCCGAAGACTACTCCTGTCAGTTCATCCATCTCAGCTTCAGCACAGTTCTGTGCCCTGCTGGAGAGGTGTTGCGATCGTTGGAGGAGAAGAGGCACTCTGGTGAAATTCTGATTTTTTTAAATTAGTAAGTGTTTTATTCAACATCAACAACATGTTTTAAGTCATAGACTACTTGGGAATAGAAAATGATGTCAGTCCTTTAGGTGTATATCCATGGGAACTTACACTTAATGTTCAAAAGAATCAGTCATGTTGGGGAAGGGTCTTGCAGACATTCTTACTCATCCAGCATTCATCTGCCTCTTTCACTTTCCTAATGGGACTTTGTACAGTAGATGCCCCTGATAGCAATAGCTTAAGCATGCCCTGAGAATGACCCTGAATGGCAGATGCACCTGAATGTGTGTTTGGAGTTCTGAGTTAAGGAATCTGGGAGTGGCCAACCTGGAGATTCATTCTTTATCTATGAGGAACATCTGAGCCCCTGGCTGATCCTGTGGAATACTGTACAGGGGACTGAGGTCCTATGTTTTGGGTTAAATAAAGGTTGCCAGGTGGAGGCATTTAGGGGGAGGGTGCTAAGTGAAGATGCTATATAAACTGCATGCTTTTTACAAGCAGTTGTGGTCCTCCTGTTTAGCCCACTGCCACTGGACTCTCTCCTTGTATGTAAGCTCCCAATAAAATCCAGGTCGCATCATCTATGTCTTTTCTCCAGCCTCTTGAACCTGGTGCCATCCCCATTAGAGTTGATGGGGTTCAGCACAACAGACCTCAATTTTGTTTATCAATTCTCCCACCTGCATGCCCACCCCATCTTGAGCTCCAGGAACAAAGGTAATGTGAGGGGAGGTTTGCTGAGCTTCTAATAAAATTCTTTTGGGAGAGTTGGAATTTTAGCCCAGGTTGGAAGAATTCATCATTTCTCAAATTGTGTGATCTATATTTACTAAAGTTTTGCACATAGGTTTAAATCATCTTCTCATGTGAATATTTTAACTTCTTTTCATGTATATGAATATAATTGTGTTGATACTGTCACTTATTTAAGATAACTTTTAGCATTATCAAGACATGAGAATATGAGGAAGAATACATCATGGTCTTGCCATTGGATTTTCTGGTTGTAATGTGGTGGTAGCATGCTGAATGCTGAATGACTTGCTGAATGACTCAAATGCTGAATGACTTGCCATTGCTGAGAGTCTAAAAGATTCAGGGAGAAATGGGTGATACTGGAGACTGTTACTACAGGAGTTCTAAGGGAAGAGTGGGTTGGTAAAGTTGGGAAGAAGAAAAAAACTCTTAATTTGGGTCTTGAAGGATGATTAGGGTTTGTTTAGTTGAAGAGGCAAGGACAGACTTTTTAAATGGCAAAAGGAAAACAGCTTAAGAAAAATTGCAGAGATAGAAACAAGGAAGGCATTTTTGGAGAAGAGTATCAGAGTGTTAACAGACTGTGTAGGCCTTGAATACTACAGTAAGGAATATGAATTTTATTCTCTAACATTGGTGAGCTGTTGAAAGTTTCTGGGTGGGGAGTTTCATAATGAAACCTTTGTTTTAGGGAAAATAATCTGAAGGCATTGGGCATTAATAGTCCTCGAAAGTATAATATCAGTGCTATGCCCTTTTCTTGATTACCAACGTGATAATTCCTTTTAGGTTTTGAGTAATTTTTTTTCCAGGTCACTTGGGCTTTTGGAGCTGTGTTAATACACAGTAGACTGGCTGAGTCCAGTGTTCATCTTCTGTTTGCAGTTATTTTCTGTTACTTCATCTCCGCCTCTCTCCATCTCTCTGTAACACCCATCTGATTCACCAACACACACATACAGATAAGCATATCCTACCTACTCCCCTTCTCCCCCACACTCCCACAACAGTCAGACTTGCTTCTTCCTATTACCGTCCATACCCTTCATCCCTGCCATTTTTTTTTTTAAATACAGATGAAGTCTCACTATGTTGTTTAGGCTGTTCCAAACTCCTGGCCTCAAGCAATCCTCCTGCCTTGGCCTCTCAAAGTGCTGGGATGATAGGCATGAGCCACTGCACTTGGTCCCTTCATCCTTTTTAAAACTTATTTTAAATTTAATATTTTAATTTGTATTTCTTTTATTTAATTTTAGATTCAGGGGATATATGTATAGGTTTGTTACATGGTTGTATTGTATGATGAGGAAGTTTGACCTTCTATCGATCCCATCACCCAAGTGGTGGACGTAGTACTTGAAAGGTGGTTTTTCAACCTTTACTCCTCTCCCTCCTTCCCTGTGTCTGGAGTCCCCAGTGTCTACTGTTCCCATTTTTGTCCCTGTGTACCCAAATGTTTAGCTGCCATTTATAAGTGAGAACATGCAGTATTCTGTTTGTTGTTTCTGTGTTAATTCCCTTAGGATAACGGCCTCCAGCTACATCCATGTTGCTGCCAAAAATATGAGTTGATTCTTTTTTATGGCCGCGTAGTATTCTATGGTCATACATTTTATCCTTGATTCCTAATTTCCCTGGTCAATTCTCTTTTTTTAGATTATAAGAAAACCTTGAAATTAATTTACCTCCCTCACAATTTCATTTATTCTACATTTACTGAGAGCCTATTGGGTCCCAGGTACTGTCGTAGCTTCTGGAGACACGAAGTTAAGAGATGGTACCTGTCCTTTAGTGTCAATATAGTGGGAAAGATTCATAATATACAGTCCTCACTTAACCTATCTTCAGTGGGTTCTTGGAAACCACAACTTTACATGAAATGACATGTAATGAAAATAGTTTTCTGGTGGTTTTTTTTTTTTTTTTTGGCAGGGTCTCATTCTCCCACCCAGGCTGGAGTGTAGTGACGTGGTCTTGGCTGACTGCAATCTTGATCTCCTGGGCTCAAGCAATCCTCCTGCCTCAGCCTCCTGAGTAGCTGGGACTACAGGTGTGCACCACCACATCTGGCTATTTTTTAAAAAAAGTATTTTTGTAGAGATGAGGCCCCACTATGTTGCCCAGGCTGGCCTCAAACTCCTGTGCTCAAGTGATTCTTCTGCCTTGGCCTCTCAAAATGCTGAAATTACAGGTGTGAGCCACTGAGCCCGGCCAAAAAACCCAGTTATTCTCCTCATTGATGTTATAATGAAAAGACATTATTCAAGGATCTGCTGTATGTCATTTTGCTTCAAGTCACAGTTTGCAAGAACCTATTGATAACATTAAGAACTTACTGTATATATTATTACAATATCAAATGATAAGGTTTCCATTTAGAAGTACGGACAAGGTATGAATACCTCTCTGTGATAATCCAAAGAGGCCGACCCCTTGCTTTTCTATTCTTTCAGGCAACCAAGATAGAGAAATGTGTTCTACCTTTGCCCAGTCAAATACCTCCCCTCAGGACTTTGAATATTGATCTAGTGAAGCAAAGAAACTTGGAGGGAAGGAGTTCATTCTGGGAAGAATGACAGCAGTGATAAAGATGTTAGTGGCAGTATCCAGTGGTTAGTACTGGTGGCTGGTGGCTTTACCACTGCCTTCATCACCAGGCTGGTTCTGTGGGGTTATTTTGGCTGTGATTCTGGCTTCCTTGGCAATCTTGGTTCTAGCTAATTTACTGACCCTTGTTCTCAAGCCTTTCTAGCAATTCTGGGAACAACCCTGGGTGGTGTAATAAATGTGTTTTTGACTTAAATAAAAGTTGCTTACAATTAAGCATACTGGCTAATAATGCAAGAAGTAGCCACAAAGTGTCAGGGAAATTAGCGTAGGGGAATTTGGGTCTTATTGGACTAAAAGCTGTGAAAAATCCAGTTAGAATTTAAGGATTGGTAAACTCTAGCTTATGTAATACAACAGGGAAATAACTAATTCAATTATGGTTTGTAATAAACTGGAATAAAGTGCACCTTGAAAGCCATTACCATAGACCAAGATGAAGAGCATGAAAAATTTAACACCCATGGGTGTGTGGATTGCTTGTAGGGGCCCTGAATAGCTTAAAGAGAATGTGAAGCTCAAGGCCCTGAATTATTGGCCTAGAACCACACCCTGAAATTCAGGAAATTTCTATGATTGTGCTAAAATATTTTATCATCTGTTGCAGCTACAGAGCTGAGGTCGCTACACACTAATTTTTTTTTTTGAGACGGGGCAGTCTCACTCTGTTAGCCAGGCTGGAGTGCAGTGGTGCGATCTTGGCTCACTGAAGCCTCCATCTCCCAGGCTTACTCCTGCTCAGCCTCAGCCTCTTCAGCCTGCTAAAGTGCTGGGATTATAGACATGAGCCACCACATCTGGCCAAACCAAACAGTTTTATCCTGTGTGTTGCTAAATTATATCAGTTGAATTTGCAACCTTATGGAATCTCTTATTTGATAGTAAAGATGTGCGTTGGGAAATAATGCGATCCAGAGAATTGAAAGGAGAATTCAGGTATGTTGAATATATAACCTCACCTGAGTTTCACTTGCCGGCTGTGGTAGATAAAAATGTCCACGTCCTAATTCCTGGAACCTGTAAATATGTTCCCTTATAAAGGAAAATAAACTTTGCAAATGTGATTAGGGTTAAGGACCTTGAGATGGAGAGACCATCCTGGATTATCCATGTGAGCCCAATCTAGTCATGTGAATCCCTAAAAGCAATGAACCTTCCCCAGCTATAGCCAGAGGGAGATCTGACTATGGAAGATAGGTCAAAGAGAGGTGCAACATTGCTGACTTCAAAGATGGAGGAAGTGGGTGCACAGCTAGGAAATGATGGCAGCTTCTAGAAGCTGGAAACGGCAAGGACACAGATTCTTCCCTAGAACTCACAGAAGGGAGCACAGCCCTGCCAACACCTTAATTTTAGCTCAATGAGATCCATGTTGGACTTTTATACTGCAGAAAGAAATGTAAAACAATAAACTTGTGTTGCTTTAAGCAGCCAAATTTTTGGTAATTTGTTACAGCAACAATAGAAAATATATCATTCAAAGAAGCTCCTTCTTCATTTTCTGATTAGAGTGTTCTTTCTGATTCGAATGTTCTTCATTTTCTGATTAGAGTGTTATTTCACATAACTCTCTCACCTAAGGGATTAATTTGCAAGAAACCATTTATCCTTATGTCCCCCTCATCTACTCATTTTGTTTAGACCCTAAACAATATCTGTACTAATGTGACTTTAGGTTGTCTCTCTTTACAGAGAGTCTGAATGTATTTGTGTGTATGTATAGACAGAGTTGCATTGTGTTAGTAGAAACACTTATTTTTTGAAGTTTAAGAATGGGAAAAAGTATTTTCCTTCACAATGGTCATTTTTTTTGAAGTATCTTTTCTTTTTTATTTTATTTTCTGGGGTGTATGTACAGGATGTGCAGGTTTGCTACACAGGTAAATGTGTGCCATGGTGGTTTGCTACACCTATCAACTCATTACCTAGGTATTAAGCCCAACATGCATTAGCTATTTTTCCTGATGCTTTCCCCCACCAGCCTCCCCCAACAGGCCCCAGAGTGTCTTGTTCCCCTCCCTGTGTCCATGTGTTCTCATTGTTCAGCTCCCACTTATAAATGAAAACATGTGGTGTTTGATTTTCTGTTCCTGCATTAGTTTGCTGAGGATGATGACTTCCAGCTTCATCCACGTCCCTGCAAAGGACATGATCTTGTTCCTTTTTATGGCTGCATAGTATTTTGTGGTATATATATACCACATTTTCCTTATTCAGTCTATCATTGGTGGGCATTTGTGTTGATTCCATGTCTCTGCTATTGTGAATAGTCCTGCAATGAACATACATGAACATGTATCTTTATAATAGAATGATTTATAATTCTTTGGGTATATACCCAGTAATGGGATTGCTGGGTCAAGTGGTATTTCTTGCTCTAAATCTTTGAGGAATCACCACACCATCTTCCATAATGGTTAAACTAATTTACATTGCTACCAACAGTGTAAAAGCCTTCTTATCTCTCCAAAACCTTGCCAGCATCTGTTGTTTCTTGACTTTTTAATAATTGCCACTCTGGCTGGTGTGAGATAGTATCTCATTATGGTTTTGATTTGCATTTCTCTAATGATCAGTGATGTTGAGCTTTCTTTCATCATATGTTTGTTGGCTGCATGTATGTCTTCTTTTGAGAAGTGTCTATTCATGTCTTTTGCCCACTTTTTAGTGTTTTCTTTTTTTCTTGTAAATTTGCTTAAGTTCCCTGTAGATTCTGGATATCAGACCTTTGTCAGATTGTTAGATTACAAAAATTTTCTCCCATTCTGTAGGTTATCTGTTTGCATTGACAAGAGTTTCTTTTGCTGTGCAAAGCTCTTTAGTTTAATTAGATCCCGTTTGTCAGTTTTTGCTTTTGTTACAACTGCTTTTGGCATTTTTCTCATGAATTTTTTGCCCATGCCTATGTCCTGAATGGTATTGCCTAGATTTTCTTCTAGGGTTTTAATAGTTTTTGGTTTTGCATGTAATCCATCTTGAATTAATTTTTGTATAAGGTGTAAGGAAAGGTTCCAGTTTCAATTTTCTGCATATGGCTAGCCAGTTCTCCCAGCACCATTTATTAAATAGGGAATCCTTTCCCCATTGCTTGTTTTTGTCAGGTTTGTCAAAGATCAGATGGTTGTAGATGTGCAGTTTTATTACCGAGTACTTTGTTGTGTACCATTGGTCTATGTGCCTGTTTTTGTACCAGTACCATGCTGTTTAGGTTACTGTAGCCTTGTAGTATAGTTTGAAGTCAAACAGTGTGATGCTTCTGGCTACAATCATCATTTTTAAGCAGTTGCCTAGTATATAAACTCATTTTCTGTTTTCTCATGAACCTTGGTGGGAAGCTGAAGCCACCTCCCAGTGCAAGGCTGAGAAAGCCACCTACTTGTTTCTCTGGACACTGTGGCAGTCAGGGAATGGTAATGTGGCCTCACAATGGCTGCCAATCAGTCACATTTACTCAGAAGGTACTGAATATGGGTGCAAATAAGAATGGTGGTAGATAATCCATTTTGGAGGTGGCAGTGACAAGCAATATCCAGCTTGTTACAGTGCTAGAGGAACAAGCAGCAGTGCCTAGTGCCCAAGGCTGCATTGGGTGCCAGCTGCAGTGTCTAGCATTTGCTAGAAGAGGTGGCTGGAAGAGGTGAACTGTTTTGGTAACATGGTTTTGCCTGCCGTTCTGGCTGCCAGCCTCCCTTTGTCTCCACCTGTGTTCTGAGGCTGGCTCTTCAGTCTTCCCAGAGTTTTGGTGAGCTCCCCAAGATACTTTCAGTAAATTGCTTTGCTTCTTAAATAATGTAGTGTTGATTTATATTACTTGCAATTAAGAACCTTGACTCAAAGGAGAGACAAAGAAAAAGATGATGATGGAGGGGTAGATTAGAACCAGATTGTCAGGAGCCTTCAATAATAATAATAACAATAATAATAATAATAATAATAATAATAATAATATTATTTTTAACACAAGGTCTTGCTCTGTTGCCCAGGCTGCAATGCGGTATTGCAATCAGAGTCCCTGAAGTCTCAAACTCATGGACTCAATTGATCCTCCCGCCTCTGCCTCCCGAGTAGCTGGGACTACAGTCATGTACAACCACACTTGGCTAATTTTTTAATTTTTTGTAGAGACAGGGTTTCGCTATGTTGCCCAAGCCGGTCTTGAACTCCTGGGCTCAAAGGATCCTTCTACCTCAGTCTCCCAAGTGCTGGTGCTACAGGTGTGAGTCACTGTGCCTGGGCAGCCTTCCATAATTATTAAGAAGTTTGGGCTTTGTCCTGAAGGCAAAGAAAACTCATTGAATAATTTAAACAAAGATAAAGGTAATCAGTTCAGGGTTCTTAAATTATTTTTTGGTAGTAGTGTAAAGGATACTCAGGATGAAGAGATTGCAGAGAGATAGAAAATGGAGATGGGGGCCGGTTAGGAGGATGTCATGGTAGTTTAGGTGACAAATGATGATGACAAAAAATCACAGTGAGAGAAAAGCTGGAAAGAGTAGGGTGAATTAAAAGATATTTAGGAGATAGGCTGTCCGGGAGTTGATGACTGGATTGAAGGGAACAAGACAGTGAAGAATCAAGATGACTTCAAAATTTCTTGAGTGAATAGATGGATGGTGATGCCATTGATTGAGTTAGAAAGGACAAAAGAAGAAATGGGTTTTTGAGAGAAGAGAGTTTGAGGCGTGCTGAGTTTGAGATGCTCTTATCCAGATGGAGATGCTCACTAAGCCGATAGAAAGATGGAACAAGGATTCAGCAGAGAAGTACAGACAAAAGGAGCCGATTTGGGAGTCATTATTGCAGTGTTGGGTGAAGCCAAGAATGTAGAGGAGAGTCTCAAGGAGAGGGAAAAGTAGGAACATTGGAACACAAATTGGAAGACCCTATACTGACATGGAGCACTTATTGGTTAGGACTTTGTATATGATGCTGTGGATGCCTACATGGCCTTCTCATGACCTCTGTGGTCAATCCAATTGGCTCTGGATTTTCATACACCCCCTACCTCTTGCCACATCTCAACAACATTCACTGTTCCACTATGCACCTCCTTCAAGCACCTGTGACTCTCTGCCTCTCGTTCCACAAGTAGGGCAGGCCAGAAATGTCAGGGAGTGAATGTCTGTGGGAGCAGCCCTTGGGCAGGCAGGGTGAGCACTGGAGGATGGATATCCTTCCTCATGTGGAATGACTTGGAGGCCTATTCTACCCTCTCCAGAGTTACTCAGCAGGATTGACTGTCGGTTGCTCACAGTGATAAACTATTGTGGCTTTCTGGGCTTCCTGTTGTCTTCCCATTCCCCCAGTGGTACTTCTTGGAATCACCTCCCCAGTAAACAACTTATACTTAAATCCCTGTCTCAGGATCTGCTTCCGGAAGAATCTGAACTAAGACAGCCTTCTTGTTCTCCCCAGTCTCTTGAGGGTGAACGATTTGAAATGTATAAACTGCTTATATCCTTCTGCGTCTGCTGCCATATTCTTTGTTTTACCTTCTGCCGTCTTCTCTCAATGCTACCCTTCTATAATCTCTCAAAACAAACATGGAATTATAAGTGAGTCCCCTTAACTCAAGAGACACCAAGGGATAACAGACACCTGGATAGAAAGTCCCTCTTCTATTCTAGGAAGCAGATGTAATGATAATCATATTTTGTATTTACTAAAAATCTTTCCTTCTGAGGAGTTCAAAGTGTTCCTTATGTATCCCCTGTGGGTAAGAGCAGGACTGACTTCTAGCACAGCTGTCAATTATGTAAAGTGTAAATGATATGAAACTGGGATTTAGAAACCATCCTGTTTCCCCTTCAAGTGGCCTTCTCCCTGTTCCCTTGCACTGGGGCCCCTCCCTGCTGTTCCATTTCTGTTGTTACCCCCACTGTGTTCCTTCCCATAGTGACTTGCTCTTAACCATCTTTCAACCAATCTCCACTTCCAGGGTGACTATTGATACTATTAACATGACATTTTCCCCAGGAATATTGGCATTTCAATAGGATACACTTACAAACAGAACATTTTAAAAAATGAAACTGAATAGAAAGATCATAGGCAAATAAGAACTTTCATTCATAGATGGTATTAAGCCTTTTGTAAATCTATATGATTTCAAATTGACTGATGGGGAACTTTCGAGAGGAAAAATACACGTGTTTGGAGTTCCAGCCATTTGTTTCAGGGATGAGTTGAAAAAACAAAAATGAAATGATAAGATTCCATGGAAAAAGTTCTGTGCATGTGATTACCCAAAGTGAGTTAAACTTGTGTGTTTTAGATTAAGCTTTATTGAGTATTTACTGTGCATAAAGCACTGGAGTGGGAGAATGAAGAAGCAGGAACACATCTCCTGTCTTCACGGATCTTCCTTATGACAGCTTCCCTGTAGGTCAGGGTTGAGGAATGATGACCTCAGTTCACAAAATGAGCTCCAAAATCAGCCTGCAAGAGTGGTGGGGACTTCAGATCTGGTAGGAATCAAGAACATCTGCCTGGATTAAAGAAGATGCTGCACTTCCCATTAGAAGGGTTTAAAAAGGTGTCTCCTTTTCCTTAAACTCAGAACTCAGGATGAAAGAGTATAGCACACATAGAGGGTAAAAAAAAGCCACTTCCTCCCACAACCTTTTCCCAACAATAATGGTAGTGAGAGGTTACAAAATCCTCCCTAAAGACATCTCCTTTACCAAATGTACTTCACTAAAGAAAGATATTGATTGAAAAATGCACAAATATATTGTTTTCTTCTCCCATTCTCAAATATGAAACATCAACTGCAGGAAAAAAAATATTATGCCAGCAACTTAGCAACACAAACAACCAACTTCAAACCAAAGAGGGAATTTTCCTGTCTAGGGAAGAGGGGCTCGTATCTTTGCTGGGTACAACCGAGCCTTCCTGTTAGAGACAACTGTTAAATCTTGCCTCTCAAGACTGGAACAATTGCTTTGTTAGTCCAATGACCCAGAATGTACTCCGCAGAAGGTTTATTTTCAGAATCTTTGAAGGCTAGAGAAGCAATCATCCTGTGTTGGGGCTTTCTATGTCCCCAGGCCTTCCCTGGCCAAATTGATTCAAACTCTGTGAAAAAAAAAAAAAAGTATTTTTTTTTCCGGAGACCATAACAACAATTTCCATAAAGAGGTCCAGATGTTTAATTTTTCCAAAAGAAATTTTAACAAAAACAAAATAAAAGTAACTGAGGAAGGATCATTTTTCCATTGACTTCTTAACCCAAATGGGACTGGTTACGCCAGTCAAAACCACGATTCACTTCCCCTGAGCACTCATCTTTTCGGCTCTTCTTGTCTCTGCCTTGACACAGGTGACTTCCCAGAATGCTGCTGGCCAGGCGCTTGCAGCTGCTGCATTTAATTTCAAGAAGCTGTTTTTCAAAGGCCAGCTGTGGACAGCTGTTGGTTGTCACACTTTCTCTCTAGCACTCTGGGTCTAATAATAAGTAGAACATGGTTTCATCAGTTTGAGCTACATTTTCCTAAGTCAGTTAGGAAATCCCCTCATCCAGCAGCCTGCAAAAACAAAGGCAGCTTGAGAAAGAACAGGTTTTCAGATAGGCATCGATCCATTCATATCTCTTGTAAGAGAGAGAATTAACTGAGTTAGGTGATCAGAGTGGGAACCAGCAGTTTAAAATAGCTTCAATCTTGTCATAAAGTCATGTTTTGGAGTTTCTTTTTCTCTCCAAAAAAGTTAGGAAGCTGAGCTTAGGAGGGGTTTCTCCTCCTGAAGCTTCTAAATTTTCTTATGATTTTTACGAAGATGAATTTCTGTGGACATAGTGAAGGTCCAGGCCTCTCTGTGAGCCGTAGGGTACCTGGACACCTACCTGGGCCTTTCTGCCATGCGGCACCATAAAAATAAGAGATGCCTGTGGGTGTCCCATAGCTTGTTTAGTTAATGCAATGGCTCATAACTAAAATGCCAGTTTAACCACCAGTTTGTTTTGCTGGTGTTTGGTTTATACATAAACATGAGTGGGAAGGGACCAACATTTTTTTTAAGTACAAATTTTATTTTTATTACTGCTGCTTTGTTTTTTGTTTCAAAGGGATGGCATGGACTCAGGGTACAACAGCTGTACTCAGCCCAGCTGGAAGGCCCCGGATTTTGAACTATTTCTTAAAAAGGGGTTGTGTGTTGAACATTCAAGTGTTGTTAACCATCTCTATTTTATTTTCCCTACAGCTCCTTGTAGAGCAGAATCCAAGACCACCTCCAGCTCAGACAGATGGAAGGGTTGGGGCTGAGGGAGCTGGCAAAGGCAATTTAGACCAGGACAGCTCATGAGGATTTGAGCATCTCCCCGAGAGGCCTTCTTAGGTGCTTTTATTATCCAAGAGCACATTGAAGTTTTGTCTTTGAGTTCCTCCTGTCCTCTCCCTAGCTCATGGATTGCATCACTGGGGGGTAAAGTTTGTCCAGTCTGGCCCAGCTTCTTACTATGTTGTGTTTATCAGGCATGATAGTGGAACAATCTGGAACGATAACACGTAACAAACACGTACTCAATAAATACTAACCAACTTACATGTTGGATTACAAAATGATTGGAAGGATTCATGGGTCTTCCTAAGAGAAAAAAACTCAATCTCTGCTACGTTCCAAGGCCAGTTTGATTTCTTTAAAAAAGATCAAACACACAGGCCTAACCCCAATCAAAATCCAATTCCCAAGTTGAACCTGGAATGAGATAGGTCCCTCTGAATTGGGCTTGAGAGGCACTGAATTCTCTTCCTTGTTTTTTATTCACTTAAATCCTAAAAGTACGTGAGATCTTTTATCAAGTTAAAATCCTGAGTGTTGATTTTTTAAATATTGTTTTTTATAGAGGTGGAGTCCCAGTATTTTGCTCAGGCTGGCCTCGAACCCCTGGCCTGAAGTGTTTCTTCTTCCTCAGCCTCCCAAAGTGCTGGGATTACAGGTGAGAGCCACTGCAGCTGGACTAAATCCTGAGTTCTGAGTGTTTTGAGTTACAGTAGTCATTCAGTGATAAACATGCTCTCTGAGGATATATTTGAACCCAGATGACATAATTTAGTAACATCTTAGAAGACTGATTTCTCCAAATGATCTTATCATTTCTCTTAGACCAGAGGGAATCAAGGTTCCTGTGGGGCAAAATGGGTTCCTACTGAGAACTCTGGCCTAAGCCCAGGATATTTCTTGACCATAGGTTGTTGTGTGTGGAATCAAGGGGGTTAATCCAAGAAGCAGCATCTTAGGAAGGAGACAAAGGCGAGGCCGACTTCTTAGTGAGTTGTCCATTTGAAGAGGCCAAGAAGTCAGGGGAAAATCTATGTACATGTGAACGAGATGAAAAACAGAGATTCGCCTAGAGTGAAAGACCAAAACAGAATAAGTGACAAAGCTGAGAAATAGCCTGAATGGTGAGAAGGTAATGGAAGCAACATTTTATGGGGTGGTAGTGGTTTTGGGTGTGGTCTGGGAGGGAACCATTAAATGCTCCGAATTGGTGTAAACGCCTCTTAAATGTGTTTCTAGGAAAAACAGATTGGAAAATCAATTAACTAAGAATAATGAGAAGATGAAAACAATGAGCAGGATCAAAAGAACCAGGGAAAGAAGAGAAATAGAGTTAGAAAGTGGCTCATCCTACTGGAATAAAAACATCTCATTGTATACAAATGATTTGGTGGGAGTACAATCAAGCTTCCAGAATAAGTACTTCTATTTTCCTACCAGTGTGGACAGACTGTAAGGGATAATCCTGGGTTATTTGGAAGGAGTAGCAGTATTAGTGTCCTGAAGGTAAACTATTCAATAATAGCTTTTGCCCTGGAGGGCAAACACTTCAATTTTATTTTACTTCATTTCATTGGATTTTTTTTGTTGGGTGGTTAGAATTCTTTATTTTTTTAAAATGCAAAGAGCTGTGCATAATTAATGTACACAGTTTGAGGGTGAAGATAAGCACATACCACCACCAGGACACCATTACCACAATCTATGTCATAAAAGCCGATCACCTCCAAAGTTTCCTCCCACTCTCTTATTTATTCAGATCTATACTCTTAGCAAATTTTTAAGCATGCAATACAGTATAGCAAACTATAGGTACTACGCTGTCCAGTAGATCTCTAGGACTTATTCATCTTGTGTAACTGAAACTTCATACCCTTTGACTAATACCTTCCTGTTTTTCCTACCTCCTGCCTCTAGCAACTATCATTACAATCTCTGCTTCTATGAGTTTGACTTTTTTTGATTTGTCATTATTTGATGTTTATAGAGCTTTTTCTGTAAGTTACTAAGTAGGAACTCTACTCAAGATTCTGGGCATATCAAGTGAAAACCTAAATACCCGTTGATCTAACTTACAGTGATTGAAGATAACTTGAAGGTAGGATACAGGAAGTTGTTGCTTCATGATTGCATTTACTAGATGTTTTCATATTTGTAGCACTTCTTTCTGTCTGATATAGATAGGTTATTAATTTCAACTTATTTTGTCTACCAGTACCTTTAATACGAATCCAGTTCTGTGCCTTAAAATGCATATTTTACCTTAATTTATTTCTATGTTAATTTAAACATTAATGTAGATCTATTTTTTCTGATTAAAAAAGAAATTTGCTCATGAAAAATACCTCTAAATGATATAAAGGTATATAAAGTCTTCACTAATCACCACTAGGTAACAATTGTTCACAGTTTAGGTCAATTTTCATGGAGCACCTCCTACATATGCTGTCTGGGCCAAGGTCTGGGGATAAAACATCAAATAGGGCACAGTTGCTGCCTGTTTGTTTGCTCATTGTCTATAGATGCTCTTGCACAGCTATGGCATAGTTGAGCAGTTGCAGCAAAGCTCTGGCCCACAAGGCCTCAAATATTTATTATCTGGCCCTTTACAGAAAGAGTTTAATAATCCTTGAACTACCCAAAGATGGTAGAAATGGGGAGAAAAATACAGATACGAGAAATATTTAGCAGATATAATCACCAGAAGTTGATGACTGATTGGGTGTGGCTTGCAGAGTTGGGTGGTTTTGCAATACCACCATTTTCTGTGGTTGGTATTGTGGAATTGGAATGGTGTGTATGTGTGTCTGTATGTGTGCATATGTTTGGTGCTTGTGTGTGTGGCGGTTCTATCTTCTAGGAGGAAAGTTAAAATTCACAGTGTACTTTTGCTGGAAAATGGCTTTTGTGAGCCTTGGCGTGTGGCTATCATTATGTGCCCAAACACATGGAATCATTTTCATTATTTCTTCATAACTTCAGAAAGTGTGAGTTGCATTTATTTTTCATATTTATTAAATAAAGTGCAAACAGGGAAGAAGGTTTTGATTCACTGTATCTGTGCTCAGTCTGAATATCTGATCTATCTTAACACACTTTCTGTTTAGTCCCAGAGGATTTGATAGGGGAATAGTTTCGCATTTAAGTGAAACTGAGGCTCTCTTCCTCTATCTCCTTCTCTGAAACCAACCGGGAGATGGTTTCCTGAACTGGAAGGATCTCACTCTCCAACTTGGTGATTTATGATTCTGTTAGCTGTATCTGTTTATTTTGCTTGCAGCCAATCATGTTGGTTTTAAAGAAATATAAGTGCAGCAAGGGAGGAAACACTGGAATGGCAGAGGAAGGAAGACTTTGGGAATGGTAAGGGTGAGAAGAATTTAGGAAAACATAAGCTCATCTGGATCTGAGGAGAAAAAAAAGGCTGCTCAAAATTCAAAGACCACAAGAGTGAAAAAGTAAAGGGCGGTGGGGGTGGGGGTAGGGGGGAGATGGAGGAGTAAGTTGTGCAAAACCTTGTTGAACCAGGCCTGAATCCAGTCCAAACTGACCCCTGATCTCATCCAAGTACTGTCCGGCCCCTTTACAGTTTGTAAGATTTGATGGAACCACAGGCCGAAGTGGTGTGGCCAGAGGCCATCGGCCTTGGGGAAGCATCTTGCCAGTGGGGAGATGTGGGAAGACGGAGTGCCAAGCTGGCCAGACGCTGGTGTCTAATGCTATGTAATGAAGGCTAAGTGACAGACGGATATCCACTTAACTGCTGATTCCATCTCTCCCCACCCTGTTATCATCCTTAGCCTGCTTTGTAAAAGGCACATTTTTGCCAGAAAATGTATTTTAGGTCACTTGATTTTTTTTTTTTTTTGTTTGTTTTTGGTCATTAAACAACTTTCTTTTCCCCCGGACTGATGTCAACCTAAAGTCTTGAGACGGTGCCATTTCAGAGCCGTCCATGTAGTCATTCTCTGGAGATTTCAGATGGCATTTGGGAAAACTGCCAAGATGATGTATTGACTCTGAAGACAAGCAGGGAATTTCCACACAGAGAACCGTCTGAAGCCAAAGTGACTTACGGATTGTGTGTGTGTCACATTGCAGAGGGACTGGACTCAAGTGGCCTATCTGTATAATCACTTGTCTCTATTTGTGAGTGAGCTGGTGTTGCACTTGTTCCAATCAGCTTGGCATCTGCATTTTTGCTTGTGGGAATTCAATAAATCCTCAGCCATTGGGGTGAGAGATTGAAGAGTTCCAAGAAGTACAGGAAGCAATTGGTAGCTAAGAGGCTAAAAATTAGAAATAAATCCCTTCTTACGAACTCACTGTTTTAGGAGTAAGAATCTCTCTTTCCTAAAAACAAAATAGAAAGCAAACTCCTCTTGGGATGTTTATTACTTATTTATAAACTTTTAAACATTACAACTTTGTCTAACCTATATAAACCCAATCAAAATAGAGGAGGACTTTGGATATTCATATGTAGTTGTGGGGTAACTCAACGCTGTGTTGGAAGAAACAGAAATAGATAATGTCTTGGGAGTGGGAGCCTGACTGGGTGGTGGGTTCTCTTGAGAGCCCGCAGTCTTATTTGCCATCACAGAGGAAAAAAAACCGCATTTCAGTAAGCAGGGCAGAGCTCCTTCTTCAGTAAGGCAAATGACTGGGATACTTCTTCTGATTAATAAAGCTCTTGAGCCCTAGGTTAAGGAAGCTTCCTTTGCCACCATGTTGCACTCTGCCACCCTGAACCTTTATCCTGTCTTTGGCCTTCCCTCTACTCCACTGTCCCCTTCTCTTTCTTCTTCCTATAAATGTTTATTGAGTATCTATTATGTGTCCACACTAAGTAGGTACAGGGAATACGGCTATGAATCAGGTAACAATGCTTTTATAAAACTCACTATTTACACTTCTGGAATTTTCTTCATATGTTCTTAATCCTTAAAAATGTCCTGTATTCAATAAGTTCTTCTAATTAGATTACTAGTTCTTTGAGGATCAGTATTCTTTTTTTTTGTACAAATGTATCCGAAGTAAGTGTTACAAAAATAATAACTGTTAAAATAAAGCTGATGCTTCTCCTAAAATACAAATTTAAGCTCTATGGAAAGTTGATTATAAGTATGCATTGCTGTCAAGTGAAAAAAGGAATTGTTATCTAGTGCTATATTCTAATATGCCTTCTTTTCAATGGACATGTTTTGAGTAGTTTCCAAAATCCTTGGAGGACTGTCCAAGGAGTTTTGTATGTGAGTGTTTATGTTTAAGGGGCTCCAACAGCAAAGGTTGTTGCCCCCAAGGGGAGCTTTCCAAGAAGAATCCTCCATCTTGGAGAGAGGAAAGCATAATTTTTGGGCAACACCCTGTCTATTTTAAATCACTGGAGAGGGGAAAAATATTTGTCTCCAAGACTGTAATTTTCCAGATGACGCCATATTGTTGCACAGTTGCCATACCATGAGAAAGAGCATTCTTGTGGTTTCTTCACTGGAAATCCTGTAGGAAAGCTATTTCTGGCATCTTTTCCTAATGAAGCCCAGTGAGTATGGGGAACAGACTGGCCAACCAGATATAGTTTGTGGTCTCTCAGCATTTTAGAAAAGTCCCTTCAACACAGCATTTTTCAAAGGACTTCTCAGTGTATGAGGTGTTGAGTGGGGTGGATGATGAGGAGTAGGGTGAAATATTAGTCCAGATCAAATCCCAAAGCAGTGGTCTGGTCAGACATCCGGACTTTCATGTGATTATTCTCTCATAAAAATAATTTTGAATCTCCAATTTTGTCTTTTAGTACATGGTGTAAGTATCTCTTTTCAAAATTAAATTTTGATAGCTAAGGACCACAACTAAGTATGCATTTGAATAAAAATAAGAGTAACTGGATGAGTAGACTGATATTCAATAGCAGCTTTTCAGATGGAGTTTGGTTCCTGTGAAAATCTACTTTCTTAATCTGAACTGAATGCCCTGTTTAAGGATGTTTGTAAAAAAAAAATTGTACAGAACACTTTTTTTGAAATAGGAAAATTATAATGGTTTTAAAAACTCTGGCAACATTTTGCCCAGGTAACATTTTTCTCTTTAACTTAAAAAGTTACCTTACTATACCACCTTTGAATAGCAAATTCCAGAAATACTTCCAAATTGTATGCAGCCCTTCTCCTCTAGGCTGTAGACATTTATGAAGAAGGTACAATAGGCCAGGTATGGTGGCTCGTGCCTGTTCAGCACTTTGGGAGGCCGAAGTGGGTGGATCAGTTGTGGTCAGGAGTTCGAGACCAGCTTGGCCAACACTGTGAAACTCTGTCTCCACTAAAACACAGAAATTAGCTGGGTGTGGTGCTGTGAGCCTGTAATTCCAGCTACTTGGGAGGCTGAGGCATGAGAATCACTTCAACCCAGGAGGCGGAGGTTGCAGTGAGCCGAGATCACACTAATATACTCCAGCCTGGGTGATAAAGAGAGACTCCATCTTAAAAAAAAAAAAAAAAAAGAAAAGAGAAGAAAAAAAAGAGGTACAATAGACTTAAAGGGCTGTTTAATGTCTAAATATAGAAATTATTTTGTAGACAAAACTGTTAGAATTAGGAAACGTCTCCTAGGCGTTTCTGACATGAGAGTGTGGAACTGAATTGATCTAACCCAGTAACTGAATTACAAATGGGTTAAGCCTCATTCATAGCAGTCTACGTGTCTTTTTGCCAAGTGTGCTTCGAATACAACTTCTCTCATCTCTCTCTCTTTCTTTTTCTTTTTTCTCTGGCAGTTTCAATAGCAGAAAAATAGGAACAACCTCACGCGCAGGCCCCAAACTTGGTCTTCCTCTCCTGTCCTGCTTGGGGCTGCTGCGGATAGGTTGAGGAGATAATAAGGTTGGCCCCAAGGGGCGGGTGTGGAGATACCATATGGCTTCTCTGGCAGTTACTGGGAGCAGTGTTGACAGGCCTGGGAGCAAGCCGAGGCTGCGTCTCCAGTGCCAGCAGGAGGATGGCGGTGACTGATGCAAAGCTCTGAACGGCAGGAGTGAAGCAGGGAGCCCTGAGAGGCCCACGTCTCTGGAAAGTCTGCACCTCATGTCCGGTTAAACTTTTCAAGAAAATAACCTTGCAATGGAAAAATTCCTCTCTTTGTACTGAGGGATGGCCTCTTTTAGGCAATTCTTTAAACATAAGAAAAGGTTTATTGTTTTTATTAGTATAACTAATGTAAGAAATTGTAAATGCTAGACTAGGAAGACATCCATTGTTGAATCATAACTTTTACTAGGTTGATGGAAGAGAGAGGACGTGTACAGCTAGCTCCTGGTTATCATTTGAAAAACCTTCCCTGGACTTTTAAGAGAGAGAGAGAAAATATTTCTGGAGATGTCTATAGCTATGGGGAGAAAGATAGTACAATGAAAAGTAAAGGTGTTAAGAATGTTCTTAAGTAACATTGAATAACATCTTAGGGGAAAATGGAGCTTGGGGATGTACTTTTCAATTTTCATGAGTTAAGAAAGCAACAACTATTTTTGAGAAATGATTAGTGATTATGCACAGGCAAGAAGGAGGATCCACCTTGAAGCTCTGAGGCAGGCTACTGGTCTGCTACATTATGATGGGGTGACAAGAGGAGTTTGTCAGCACCTGCATTTTCTTCAGGAAGAAAGTGGCTCTTAGGATGACCGTAGGCAGAAGGAGGTTAGAAGCCTGCCCTTCTGATGCCATGGCCGGGCTCCAGCACTTCAGAGAGCCAGTGGGAAGGAGAGAAGATGTAAGGAGACTTTCAATGGGAATATTTTGGTTCCCTCAAGGGCTTCTCAGGGTCACACACTACAGTCCATCCAATCTGTGGGCCACGAAAGATAATTTGTTCCACCCTATTTTCATTGTGTCACACTTTCAACCCATTCTGCTTCTTGCCTGGGTTCCTATAAACCTAGAAGACAGATTCTCATAGAAACCCGAGAGACAGGCAGCAAGCGAAGAGGCGGAGGTGATGGTGTTTAGAATCCTCATCAGATTCCTTCCAGCCTGCATCCCATTTCCTTTTGGGTTGGCCTGTTTCCTTCAATATCCTGGACAATATAATTATCCACATGGATTGTCAGAAAGCAATGACAGACTTTGATAAAAGTATCATTTCAATTAAAGTCACAGGAAGAAAAATAAGAGACGATCACAATTATAAGTCATCTGTTAGCCAGCTGGATACATATATTGTGCTATCTCTGCCGGCTGGCCATTCAAAGAGTTTTTAAGGATTAACAAGGAGAGTTAGTGAGAAGATCTGTGGTCACAGAGGAATTTGCTACATATCTTGTGGGCTTTTCTGGCACCAGATTTGTTTTAGGGGAAAATGTGAGACTGGATTAATGCCACTTGCGAATCTTGATACCTTGATCTCAGCTACATCTACAGGCCTGAATTGAAACCTATGTTGGATTGGATGGTGCTTCTGATGAGGTTTGACGAAAATATTATGAAAAATGGAAGAAAAAGTACAACTTAATGATAGAGAATTGGCCTCTGAATTTCCGTTTCACCCCTCAAAGTGGAAAAACTAAGTACAATAGATAATGATCTTTTTGTAGTTTGTGGAAGCAAGGTTGTGAAAGTGTTTTTACTCATTGAGGTTCTCAGGCTTGATGCGAAGATTTAAAAATTTATAATCAGAAAAACAATGAAAACTGTATGTTTCATAGATAATCCTTGATTTTTAGAAGTATAGATGTGGTCTTGGGGCATATGATATTTTCTTGAAACTACTAAATAACCTTCCAGGAAAGAATCATCTCTTTCTGGGAAGGCCTGCATTGAATAATGTTTTGACACGAGTAGATCAATCTGTTAAGATTTAATAACTTTTGCTCATTTAACAAGCCAGGGCAAACAAAAAATGGCAAATTAGGCAGAGTTGAAATTATGCAAATTATAAGAGTTAAAAAGTACTCCCTTTTTGTACCCATGCATTGATTTTTCTCATCCGGGGGCTGATGTGTTTATTTCCAAACAAAATGATTTGATTCATTTTATTAATTAAACTTATAAAAAACCTCCAACATTAAAAAATTCAGCTTTCCCATGCGACCCTTCACAAGCTGAAGAATATGCAAGGATTTAATTATAGTGGACTGGGGGGAAATCAAGCCCTTTTTTTGTTATGGTACAATTAAGTACCTGTCAAACTCAGGCAACCCTTAATTTTCCTTGAGTGAAAGCAGTTGATGAATATAAAACTAATCCTACCCTTAAGGCTTTCTTTTTTGAAAGCCATATAATTAGAAATAAAGGTTCATCCAAACTTAAAAGGCTTTTTTCTTTTTTCCTGGAAACATTTTTCACTTTGACAAAAGCGGTAAGATTTTGTACTTAGTGTTGTTGGATAGAGCAGTACCAGTTTTAACTAGCACAGAAGTACTTGAAATCACAGCTCCATATATGCCTTGTGTGTAGAGCTGTGATTGCAAGAGATGGAAGGGGACGTATGTGCAATTGCTATCCATGACCTTACTGCTCAAATTGTATTCCAGGGACCAGCAACATGGACTCACCTGGGGGTTTGTTAGAAAAGCAGAATTTTCAGTCCTGCCCAGATCCCTTGAAATTTGTTAAGAACCCCAGAACTCGAATGCACACTAATGCTAAAGAAACACTGGTTTATAAAACTGATCAGTTTGTTGTAGAACAGGTGAACTTTAAAGTAAATAATAAGTTGACCCTGTTCTTAGGGGAAGAAAAGATTGTGAATTAAAGAGCAGTCAGTTTTATT
Source organism: Homo sapiens (assembly GCF_000001405.40). Lineage (NCBI taxonomy): Eukaryota > Metazoa > Chordata > Mammalia > Primates > Hominidae > Homo > Homo sapiens. Next base: position 27,872,631 of record NC_000012.12, read on the forward strand.
TCTTGGATCATAAAATCCAGGCAATTAGTGTTACCAGAAGAATTTTTTTGAAGCTTGTTCTTACCTCCAGGAGATCCCATGAGAAATAGCTTTATCTTAAATTCTGAAATATCTCATTATTTTCCAATCTGGTCCATAAAGGCAGATCTAGCTTTTGGTTATTTTTGTTCACACAAAATGTAATTTCCGTACAAAAATGTCAGGTCGAAAGTAGCCACTCAGTAAGTATTTTTTAAAAAATGAATCAACAAATATATTCAGGCCATAGCTAGTTTTATAAAATGAAATCCATATAAGACACTCAGTCCTTGACTCCTCCTCTCTTCCTTGGGCTACCAAAACATTTGCAAATACTTCCACCATGGTGCCTATTGGTTTGTGATAATTTATCTCTTTTCCTCCCACTATACTGTCAGTTATCTGAGGGTGTTTTTGTTTCCTAGAGTCTTGTACAGGGCTGGGAATGTTTGGGTACTCAATGATGTGTTTTTTTAATTGCAGGAATATATATAATATAAAAATTATCATTTTTCCATTTTCAAGTGTATAGTTCAGTGACATTAAGTACATTCGCATTGTTCTGCAACCATTGTCACCATCCATCCACAGAACTTTTTCATCTTGCAAAGCTGAAGCTCTATGCTTATTAAACAGTAACTCCCTCTCCCCCTCCCCCTCCCCCTCTCCCTCTCCCTCTCCGTCTCCCTCCGGTCTCCCTCTCCCTCTCCCCACGGTCTCCCTCTGATGCCGAGCCGAAGCTGGACTGTACTGCTGCCATCTCGGCTCACTGCAACCTCCCTGCCTGATTCTCCTGCCTCAGCCTGCCTAGTGCCTGCTATTGCAGGCGCGCGCCGCCACACCTGACTGGTTTTCGTATTTTTTTGGTGGAGTCGGGGTTTCGCTGTGTTGGCCGGGCTGGTCTCCAGCTCCTAACCTCGAGTGATCCGCCAGCCTTGGCCTCCTGAGGTGCTGGGATTGCAGACGGAGTCTGGTTCACTCAGTGCTCAATGGTGCCCAGGCTGGAGTGCAGTGGCGTGATCTCGGCTTGCTACAACCTCCACCTCCCAGCCGCCTGCCTTGGCCTCCCAAAGTGCCCAGATTGCAGCCTCTGCCCGGCCGCCACCCCGTCTGGGAAGTGAGGAGCGTCTCTGCCTGGCCGCCCATCGTCTGGGATGTGAGGAGCCCCTCTGCCTGGCTGCCCAGTCTGGAAAGTGAGGAGCGTCTCTGCCCGGCCGCCATCCCATCTAGGAAGTGAGGAGCGCCTCTTCCCGGCCGCCATCCCATCTAGGAAGTGAGGAGCGTCTCTGCCGGGCCGCCCATCATCTGAGATGTGGGGAGCGCCTCTGCCCCGCCGCCCCGTCTGGGATGTGAGGAGCGTCTCTACCCGGCCGCGACCCCGTCTGGGAGGTGAGGAGCGTCTCTGCCCGGCCGCCCCGTCTGAGAAGTGAGGAGACCCTCCGCCCGGCAACCGCCCCGTCTGAGAAGTGAGGAGCCCCTCCGCCCGGCAGCCACCCCGTCTGGGAAGTGAGGAGCGTCTCCGCCCGGCAGCCACCCCGTCTGGGAAGTGAGGAGCGTCTCCGCCCGGCAGCCACCCCGTCCGGGAGGGAGGTGGGGGTTAGCCCCCGCCAGGCCAGCCGCCCCGTCCGGGAGGTGAGGGGCGCCTCTGCCCGGCCACCCCTACTGGGAAGTGAGGAGCCCCTCTGCCCGGCCACCACTCCGTCTGGGAGATGTACCCAACAGCTCATTGAGAACGGGCCAGGATGACAATGGCGGTTTTGTGGAATAGAAGCGGGGGAAAGGTGGGGAAAAGTTTGAGAAATCGGATGGTTGACGTGTCTGTGTAGACAGAGGTAGACATGGGAGACTTTTCATTTTGCTCTGTACTAAGAAAAATTCTTATCCTGTTTATCTGTGACCTTACCCCCAACCCGGTGCTCTCTGAAACATGTGCTGTGTCCACTCAGGGTTAAATGGATTAAGGGCGGTGCAAGATGTGCTTTGTTAAACAGATGCTTGAAGGCAGCATGCTCGTTAAGAGTCATCACCACTCCCTAATCTCAAGTACCCAGGGACACAAACACTGCGGAAGGCCGCAGGGTCCTCTGCCTAGGAAAACCAGAGACCTTTGTTCACTTGTTTATCTGCTGACCTTCCCTCCACTATTGTCCTATGACCCTGCCAAATCCCCCTCTGCGAGAAACACCCAAGAATGAACAATAAAAAAACAAAAAAACAAAAAAAAAACAGTAACTCCCCAGTCTCCCTTCTCCCAGTCCCTGGCAACCACCATTCTACATCTGTCTTCCCGAATTTGACTGCTCTAGGTATCTCATATACATTGAATCATATGGCATTTGTACTTTTGTGACCAGCTTATTTCCCTTAACAAAAGGTCCTCAAAGTTTATCCATGTTTTAGGATGTGTCAGAATTTCCCTTCTTTTTAAGGATAATAATATTCCATTGTATGTATCCACCACATTTTATTTATTTGTTAGTCTGTAAATGGACGCTTGGTGTATTAGTCAATTCTTGCATTGCTATAAAAAATATCTGAGACAGGTTTAATTGGTTCATGGTTCCGCAGGCTGTACAGGAAGCATAGCAGGTTCCTGAAGCAGGAGGCTTCAGGAAACTTACAATCATGGCGGAAGGTGAAGGGGAAAGAGGCACATCTTACATGGCTGGAGTGGAGGAAAGAAAGAGAGTTGGGGAGGCGCCACACACTTTCAAATAACCAGATCTCACTATCACAACACCAGCACCAAGGTGGATGGTGCTAAACCATTAGAAACCAACCCCATGACACAATCACCTCCCACCAGGCCCCACCTTGAACATTGGGGATTACATCTCAACATGAGATTTTTGTTGGGGCACAGATTCAAACTATATCACTTGGGTTACTTTTATCTTTTGGCAATTGTGAATAACCCGGCTATGAACATGGATGTGCAAACATCTATTTGAGTTGCTGCTTTCAATTCTTTTGGATATGTACCTAGAGTGGAATTCCTGGACAAGACAGTTTTATTTTTATTTCTTTGAGGAATTATCATGCCGTTTTCCATAGCAGCTGTACCATTTTATATATGTACCAGCAGTGCACAGGAATTCTAATTTCTCTACATTCTTTTTAACACTTGTTATTTTCTCTCTGTGTGTATGTGTGTGTATTGTACTAGCCATCCAAATGAGTGTGAAGTGGTATCTCATAGTGGTTTTGATTTGCATTTTCCTGATGATTCATCATTTTTGAGTATCTTTTCATGTAATTATTAATCATTTGTATGTCTTCCTTGGAGTAATAGCTGTTCACATCCTTTGCTCATTTTTTAATTGTCTCCTTTTATCATTGAGTTGTGGGAGTTCTTTTTATATTCTGGATATTAACCCTTTATCAAATATATGATTTGCAAATATTTTCTCCCATTCCGTGGGTTGCCTTTTTGCTCTGTTGATTGTGTCTTTTGATGCACAGAAGTTTTAAATTTTGATGTATCCAATTTATTTTTCTTTTGTTATCTGTGCTTTTGGTGTCATACATGAGAAATCACTGTGAAATTCAATGTCATGAAGCTTTCCCCCTGTGTTTTCTTCTAAGAGTCTGGTAGTTTTACATCTTACACCTAAGTCTGATTCATTTTGACTTAATTTTTTTTATATGTTATAAGGTAAGGGTTCAATATTATTCTTCTGAATGGGGATACCTAGTTTTCCCAGTACCATTTATTGAAAAGACTAAATTGAATGGTCTTGGCACCTGTGTCAAAAATCATTTGACCATGTCATGTGGGTTTATTTCTGGGTCTCAATTCTGTTCCATTGGTCTATATGTCTGTCTTTATGTCAGTACCACATTGTTTGATAACTTTGTATTAAGTTTTGAAAAACTTTGTAGTAAGTGAGTTTGGAAGTGTGAGACCTCTAACTTTATTCTTTTTCTGGATTGTTTTGGCTATTTGGGGTCCTTTTGAGATGCTATATGAATCGTTGGATGAGTTTTTCTATCTCTTTAGAAAACTTTGGGGTTTTCATAGGTCAGCAGTGTTTTTGAATGCATAAATGAATAAACAAAAGGATAAAATTTAAAAGCTAACTTATGCCTAAGTTATGGAAAGCATGTTAACTACAAAAATCCTTAATGATGTCCTAGGGATGGGAAATTTCTCCAATAAAGAGATACCTTTTTTTACTATATGTAAAATTTTGTTTGCTTTTATGTATTTTCCTATTTATATTCTTCAAAAGGATTTGATGCAAGTTACAATTAAATGAAAAGAGAATAAAATTTAAGCAATTAAAAAGGTGGTAGGGGAGGGAATATGAAGTTGATGAGAGAAAGGAACAGCCTCTGTCTTTTGCGCATCAGCTTGGTTTTAAGCTTCCTGGAAACTGAGCAAAGAGAGAAACATGTTTTTTTCAGTGCTTACTATGGCCCAGGCACTGAACTTGACTCCTAATGACATCCCTATCCAATAAGTATAGAATCAGGCTCTTTGTGTTTTCCAATCAAGGATGCAGTGCCCTAGTGTGCATGGGGCTTGAGTCCCAGCTGCCACCTGCTTTGTGGTGCCCTTGCTTGGTACCTGTGTTGATATATCTGAATCCTGTCTCAGTAGCATAATTGGCCTTCTCCTTTTTCCACTCTTTCTGAGTTTCTACATTGGCACCCTAGTTACTCTTCCAAATCCAAATCTATCCGAAGGCCAGGCCTTGTCTTACTTTTGCTTTTCCTCACTCTAGGCCTACAGCCCAGTTCCAGAATTCTAGCTCTTCGTGGACCCTATTATCTTTGGGCTGACATCCCCATGGATTTCTGCCCCATACTTGTCATCCCTGGGGAATATAGCTTATTAGATATATTTCTATTCTTGGCTCCTTATGGTGACTGTTTATTTGCCTGAACTATGAGGGGTTCTAGGTCTCTTTACAGAAACCCTCCTGCCAGAGTTTATCCTCTTAGATGCTAGTCTTGCCCCTGTCTATCTTGCCTTGAGAAAACTGCTGTGGTTCATCAATGAGTTAAAAAAATGACAGAAGCATTTTGACCTTTTTTTGTACTGGGTATCGATTAAAAACCCAAGGGATAATGCCAAATTGATTCCTGATGACACAATTTGGGTTCTCCAGGAAGCAGAACCTGAGACAGCGTAGTGCTGAGAATGTTTATTGGGTGTGTCCTTGAGATCAGCATCTGTGGACAGGAGGGGATGAAAGTGGGATTGGGCTGAGGGAGAAGTCAAACTGGGTGCAGGGCCAGTGACGAAGGCCAACCATCTTAAGTTCTAGAGTTAAAATGGTTTATGGAGAATGGCCAGGACTTTATCCCACTCCTCAATTGGTCATTGTTGTGAACTACTCTTGAAAGGTGGTGACATTGGGCCGGACTCTGGTCTGGGGCTGAGACAATCCCTGAAAAGTTAACAGCAGGAGGCTGTCTGCTGATAGTTCTCCCAGCAGCTGGGCAACAAGGCCTTCCTTGAAGGAGGAGCTGGGCAGTGTGTCTCTTGTCTACCACACTCTGGGAGCAACTGGGCCCATATTATAGGTAAAACCATAATTGGACTTTGCATAGAGATGAAGTTTAGATAGGCCGGGCATGGTGGCTCACGCCTGTAATCCCAGCACTTTGGGAGGCTGAGGTGGGCAGATCACAAGGTCAGGAGATCGAGACCATCCTGGCTAACACGGTGAAATTCTGACTCTACTAAAAATACACACACACACACACACACACACACACACACACACACACACACTTATCCAGGCGTGGCAGCGGGCTCCTGTAGTCCCAGCTACTCGGGGGGCTGAGGCAGGAGAATGGCGTGAACCTGAGAGGCGGAGCTCACAGGGAGCTGAGATCATGCCACTGCACTCCAGCCTGGGGGGACAGAGCCAGACTCCGTCTTAAAAAAAAAAAAAAAAAGATGGAATTTAGATAAATTGACCAGAGAAATATTCTTCCGTCAATCCTCTATGAATTATCTGAGAGAAGCTCTTGACTGGGGCTGGACAACAGAAAAAAAATTAGATTGAACTTGCCGCGGAGTGTGAAATTCTTCATAATGAATACAAAGGAGCTTCATATGCTTAGATATCAGATATGTAGTTAGAGGAGTTATAGTTAGGTATGAAAATTGGGGTTTTTGGGTATAAAAATTACATTTATTTTTGATAAGTAAAAATTGTAAATATTTATGGTATACAATGTGGTGTTTTGATATATGTATACTTTGTGGAATGGCTAAATCAAGCTATTGAGCATATCATTTTTTGTGTGTGGTGAGAACACTTAACAATCTGCTCTTTTAGCAGTTTTCAAGTACACAATATATTGTTATTAACTGTAGTTACCATGTTGAACAATAGATGTCTTGAACTTATTTCTCCTGCCTAACTGAAATTTTGTGTCCTTTAACCAACATCTCCTGAATTTCCCTACCTGCTAGCCTCTGGTAACCACCATTTTACTCTGTGTTTCTGAGTTCAACTTTTTTATATTCCACATATAAACGAGACCGTGTGGTGTCTGTCTTTCTGTGTCTGGATTATTTAACTGTCCTCCAGGTTCATTCACGTGGTCATGAATGACAGGATTTCCTTCTTTTTAAAGGCTGAATAGTTTTTCATTGTGTTTATATACCACATTTTCTGTATATCCATTTATTCTTTGGTGGGAACTTAGGTTAATTTCATATCTTGGCTATTGTGAATAATGCTACAATGAATATGGGAGTGCAGATACCTCTTTAATACACTGATTTTATATTTTTGGATATATACTGAGTAGTGGGATTGCTGGATCATATGGTAGTTCTATTTTTAATTTTCTGAGGAACTTCTGTTTTGTTTTCCATATTGGCCATACTAATATACATTCCTACCAATAGTGTACAAGGGTTCCTATTATATTTCTCCAGATCCTTGCCAATGTTTGTTATCTTTTGTCTTTGCCATCATGGCCAATCTAACATGTATAAGAGGATATCTTATTGTGGTTTTAGTTTGTATTTCCCTGATGATTAGTGATATTGAGCATTTTCCCATATACCTATTGGCCATTTCTATGTCTTTTTTTGAGAAGTGTGGTTGTTGCCCATTTTTCATTGGGTTGTTTTCTTACTATTGAGTTGTGTGAGTTCCTTATATGTTTTGGATATTAATCCCTTGGTAGATGTATAAGTTGCCAGTATATTTTCCCATCCTGTACATTGTCTCTTCACTTTGTTGACTGTTTCCTTTGCTGTGCAGGAGATTTAGTGTGATGCAATCCTATTTTTGCTTTTGTTTCCTGTGCTTTTGGGGTCATATTCAAGAAATCTTTTCCCACACCAGTGGTATGGAACTTTTCCCCTATGTTTTCTTCTAGTAGTTTTACATTTTCAGGTCATATATTGAGTCTTTAATCCATTTTGAACTGATTTTTTGTATACTGTGTGAGATGAGTATCTAATTGCATTATTTTGCATGTGGATATCCAGTTTTCCCAGCACTGTTTATTCAAGAGACTGTCCTTTCCTCACTGTGTATTTTTAGCATCTTTGTTGTATCAACTGACCATATATTTGTGGATTTATTTCTGGACTCCCTATTCTGTTCTATTATGTGTTTGTTTTAATGCTAGTACCATGCCGTTTTGATTACTATAGTTTCCAGATTTTCAAATCATGTAGTGTGATGCCTCCAGCTTTGTTCTTTTTGCTTGTTTTGGCTAGTTGTTTTTTTTTTTTTGTGGTTTCATATGAATATTAGAGTTTTTTCTATTTCTGTGAAAAATTTCATTGAAATTTTGATAGATACTGCATTGAATCTGTAAATCACTTTGGATAGTATGGACATTCTAACAATATTCTTTTAATTCATGAACACAGAATATCTTTCCATTTACTTGTGTCTTCTTTAATTTCCTTCATCAATATTTTATAGTTTTCACTATATATATCTTTCATCTCCTTAGTAAAAATTTGTCCCTAAATATTCAATTTTTTATAGCTATTGTGAATAAAATTGTTTTGATTTCTTTTTTGGGTAGTTTAGTGTATAGAAATGCTACTTATTTTTGTATGTCAATTTGTATCCTGCAACTTTAATGAATTTGTTTATTATTTCTAACAGTTTTTATTTTTTGTAGTCTTTAGGGTTTTATATATATATATATAAATATATATCATGTAATCTGCAAAAAGAGACATATATATAATGTCATCTGCAAAGAGAGACAATTCAACTTCTTCCTGCTTCAAATACTTTTTGTTGCTTTCTCCTGACTAATTGTTCTGGTTAGAACTTCCAGTACTATGTTGAAGAGAGGTGAGGAGAGTGAGCATTCCTGTGTTGTTTCTGATATTAGAGAAAAAAGCTTTCAACTTTTCACCATGAGTATAATGTTAACTATGGGCTTGTCATACATGGCCTTTGTTTTGTTGAGGTATATTTCTTCTATACCTAATTTATTTGGAGTTTTTACATGAAAAGATGCTGAATTTTTTTTGAATGACTTTCTGCATCTATTAAGATGATTATATGGCTTTTGTCCTTCATTCATATAATGTTAATGAGGTGTGTCACATTTATGGATTTGCCTATGTTGAACCATCTTTGCATCCCAGTGATGAATTCCACTTGATCATGGTATATGTTTTTTTTAACATGCTATTTAATTCAGGTTGCTAATCTTCAGTTGAAAATTTTTGTATCTCTGTTCATCAGATATATTAGCCTGTAATTTTCTTTTATTGTAGTGTCCTCTCTGGCTTTGATATCAGGGTAATGTTGGCCTCATAAATGAGTTTAGAAGTTTTCCCACTTCGAATTTTGGAAGACTTTGGGAAGGATTGACATTAGTTCTTCTTCAAATGTTTGATAGAGGCTGGGCGTGGTGGCTCACACCTGAAATCCTAGCACTTTGGGAGGCCGAGATGGGTGGATCACCTGAGGTCAGGATTTTGAGACCAGCCTGGCCAACCTGGTGAAACCCCGTCTCTACTAAAAATACAAAAATTAGCTTGGCATGGTGGCAGACACCTGTAATCCCAGCTACGTGGGAGGCTGAGGCAGGAGAATCACTTGAACCCGGGAGGCAGAGGTTGCAGTGAGCTGAGATCACGCCATTGCACTCCAGCCTGAATGACAGAGCGAGACTCTGTCTCAAAATAAATAAATAAATAAATAAAACATTCAGCAGTGATGGCATCAGGTCCTGGGCTTTTCTTTGATAGGAAACTTATTATTTACTAATTCAATCTATTTACTCACTATTTTTCTGTTCAAGTTTTCTATTTCTTCATGATTGTGTCTTGGCAGGTTCTATGTGTCTAGGAATGTATCTATTTCTTCTAGGTTTTCCAATTTGTTGGCATATAATTGTTCATAACAGTCTCTTATGATCCTTTGTAATTCTGTGGTATCAGTTGTAATGTCTCCTCGTTTGTTTTTAATTTTATTTATTTGAGTCTTCTCTTTTTTTCAGCCTGGCTAAAGGTTTGTTGATTTTATCTTTTGAAAAAACCACTCATTTCATTTATTGTTTTTCTAGTCTCTATTTTATTTATTTTTGCTCTTTTTTTTATTACTTCCTTCTATCAACTTTAGGCTTAGTTTGTTCTTCCTTTTCTAGTTCTTTGAGGTGTAATATCAGATTGTTTATTTGGGATCTTTTTTCTTTTTTTGATGTAAGCATTTGTTGCTATAAACTTCCCTCTTAGAACTACTTTTGCTGCATCCCATAAGTTTTGTTGTATTTCCATTTTTTGTCTCAAGATATTTTTAAAGTTTTCTTGTAATTTCTTCTTTAACCCCTTCATAGTTTAGAAGTATGTTGTTTAATTTTCACATATTTGTAAATTTTCTAAAATTCCATCTATTATTGACTCCTAGTTTTATACCACTGTGGTCAGAAAAAAATACTTAATATAATTTTAATCTTTTTAGATTTTTAAAGGTTTGTTTTGTGGCCTAACATATGACCTATCCTGGAGAATGTTCTGTGTGAACTTGAGAATAATATGTGTTCTGCTCATGTTGGATGAAATATTCTCTGTCTGAATGTTAGGTCCATGTGGTCTAAGGTGTAGTTGAAGTCCAATGTTTTCTTTTTGGTTTTCTATCTAATGTTCATTGTTAAAAGTAGAGTATTAAAGACCGCTACTATTATTGTATTGCAGTCTATCTCTCTCCTCAGATCTATCAACTTTTGCTTTATATATTTAGGTGCTCTGATGTTGAGTGCATATATATTTATAATTGTTATATCTTCTTGATGAATTAATCCTTTTGTCATTATATAATATCCGTCTTTGTCTATTTTCATACTTTTGACTTAAAGTCTATTTACATCAGGTAAGTATAGGTATCTGTGCTCTCTTTTGGTTTCTACTTGCATGAAAATTTTTCCATACTTTTATGTTCAATCTATGAGTGTCATTTTTAAAAAAACAAAAAACAAAAAACAAAAAAACCAAGGTCTTGCCCTGTCACCCAGGCTGGAGTGCAGCAGTGTGATCATAGCTCCCTACCCCTACAGCCTCAAACTCCTGGGCTCAAGTGATCCTCCCATACCTCAGTCTCTTGTGTAGCTGGGACTACAGTTGCATACCACCATGCCTGGCAATTTTTTTTTTCTTTGGAGAGACAGAGTCTTGCTATTTTGCCCAGGTTGGTCTCAAACTCCTGGCTTCAAGAGATCCTCCTATCTGGGCCTCCTAAAATTCTGGGATTACAGGTGTGAGCCACCACATCCAGTCTATTTGTGTCATGAAATGTGAAGTGAAGTGAGTCTCTTGTAAGCAGTGTATAGTTGAGTCTTGTTTTTTTTTAATTAATCCAATCTTTTGATTGGAGAATTTTATCCATTTATATTTAAGGTAATAATTGATAGGTAAGGACTTACTACTGCTATTTTGCTAATTGTTTTCTGGTTGTTTTGTAGATCCTTCATTTCCTTTTTCCTCTTTTGCTGCCTTCCTTCATGATTAAATAATTTTCTCTAGTGGTATGCTTTGATTCCTTACTTTTCACCTTTAGTGTATCTTTTATTGGTTTTTGCTTTGTGGTTACCATGAAGCTTACATAAAATGTCTTATAATTATAATAGACTATTTTAAGCTGATAGCAGCTTGCCTTTGATCATACAAAAAACCTTATACTTTTACCCCTCCTCCCCATGCTAAATGATTCTAACATTTAGAATCTGATGTCACAATTTACCTTTTTGTTTATTTTTTTAAAACAGGGTCTCACTCTGTTGCCCAGCTGGAGCCCAGTGGTGTAATTATAGCTCACTGTGGCCTAAGACTCCTGGGCTCAAGCAATTCTTCCACATCAGCATTCTGAGTAGCTGGGACTATAGGCATGTACCACCATGCCCGGCTACTTAAAATTTTTTTTTTTTTTGTAGAGACAGCATCTCACCATGTTGCCCAGGCTGGTCTTGAACTCCTGGCCTTAAGCAATCTTCCCACCTCAGCCTCCCAAAGTGCTAGAATTATAGACATGAGCCACTGAGCCCAGCCTTTTAAAAATAGAAATTCTGAAGCTAAATTTCATTGCATTCATTGTACTAATTTTCATTAGTTATTTCTTTTCTGATTTTGTTAAATTGTTTCTTTGCATTTTCTTAAAGCTTGCTGAGCTTCTTTAAAAATAATTATTTTGGCCAGGTGCAGTGGCTCATGCCTGTAATCCCAGCACTTTGGGAGGCTGAGGCGGGTGGATCACTTGAGGTCAGGAGTTCAAGACCAGCCTGGCTAACATGGTGAAACCCTGTCTCTACTAAAAATACAAAAATTAGCCAGGCATGGTCGTGGGCACCTGTAATCCTAGAAAATCAGGAGGCTGAGGCAGACGAATTGCTTGAAACCAGGAGGCGGAGGTTGCAGTGAACCAAGATGGTGCCACTGCACTCCAGCCTGGGTGACAGAGCAAGACTCCATCTCAAAAAAAAAAAAAAAAAAAAAAAAAAAAAGAAAAAGAAAAAAATATTATTTTGAATTCATCAGACACTTTATGTATCTTCATTTCTTTGGGGTTAACTGTTGGAAAATCATTGTGTTCTTTTGATATTGCTATACCTCATCGATTTTTCATGTTTCTTGTTGGATTACATTGATGTCTGTATATTTAGTGAAGCAGTCAGTTAGTTACCTCTTGCAGACTTTATGGGTTAGTTTCACTGTGGGACCATCTTCTCCTCTGGGGATGGAGGGCACAAGGGCACTTGCCTGGTAGAGAGTGCAGCAGTTCTGGCACCAGTGAGAATATAGCCATATGGTTTCTGTGCAGCTCTGTCAGCTGAGGTTGACATTGACAAAGATTGGAGGGATCCTCACTGGCCATCAATGTGGATGTCTGCAGTGGTGGTAAGAGTCATTGGGTTTTTTGGTGGTGATGGCTGCTGTGGTTCTCTTGATCTCTTTTTCTCCCACCGGGGAAGTTGTGCCTGAGGGAATCAGTTTTGGCACTGGCCTTATGTGCTCATTTGAAATGAAGGTGGCTCTAATTTCTGATAGGTAACACTCATGTCTGATGAGCTGAGGCCTGAAGCATGATCATGTGTGGAGGGCCTGTGGCTCTGTTATCTAGGGCAGCAATGGCACTGGTGCTCAGGGGGCAGACATTCCCACTGCCATGTTAGTAAGAGTAAGGAGGTTTGTGTAGCAACCAGGTAGCTGAGAATGGGAGCACAGGTGTGTGTAGAGTTATAGTAGCTCTGGGGTTGAGGCAGGGTCTGGCTCTCTGTAGTGGCTAAGCTTGTACCTGGAGCATGGTCATGCTCAGAGAGACCTTGGCTTCAGGGCCCAAAGTGTGAACAAGTTTGCAATGGTAATGGCTTTGGGTTCTGAGATGTGGGCAGGCACAGTGAAACCATAAAGCCCAGGTCCCTCATGGGGAGGTCAAGGCTTGGGGGTCAGGGCACACATGAGTTCAGGAGAGGTGGCAGCTCTTTTCCTGGTTCAACAGCACTGCTTCTTGAGGCAGGTAGGGATATGCAGCCAAGTCTCACTCTCTGGGGTTATCCAACAGGAATGGCTGTTTATTACCTCAATAGCAAAGGATACCAATGTTCTCTACAGCAGGCTGCTGGGGACCATGATGGTTCCATGCACATGGGTGATATTGATAGCCTCCACCCTTCTTCTTTGTTCCCAGCTGTTTCCTGGCATCTCAGCTATACCAGTCTCACTAGCAATCCTTTCTATAGGGATATTCTCCATTTTTTTCCTCCACTATGTTGCTGCAGGTTCTTTAATGGGCCCTTGAGCCCTTTCGGGGCTATTTTGATCTGTGGATAGCCATCTATATTTGGTTGGTTGTGGAGGGATGAAGGCTGGTATCTCCTACCCCACCATCTTAGTGACATCACTCCTCCAAATCGGAATTTTGATTTTATACAGACTTGTATTTTTTTGCCCATATTTGGGAACATTCAACCTTTGTAAGGAGTACTTGAGGCCAGGAAGTTTTTTGTTGTTTTTTAAATCAGAAGTATCCATATATTTACATTTAGACAAGTACTTCATGAAGTCCCAGAGTGCCAGACTACTAAATAATGAAAACTGAATATTGGTCAGAAAAACAGTGAGTACAGAAATGATTTACTATCTGCCTCTCTCTGAAATTAGCCCAAACTAGCTCATGTAATTTTTTTTGCATCTTAATGGATGGTTTAGTGGCAAATGTAATCTTAGACAAGTTACCTGCGGGTGGGATTTCTAGTATTATTTATTTGAAAGCTGAAGCATGTCTGGGAATAATGATGATCTGGAGTACAAAGGTACATTAAATTGCTATTCTGTTGCAAAACTGTATCCTGCAGAACATTCAAACTCTTTCTTTTCTTCATTTCTCCATAGATTTAAGATTTTATGCACAAAAGATAGGAGGTAGCAAAATCAAGCAGCACAGAGGGGCACAAAATAAATAGTAAATCTCTTGCCTTACCCTCTCGATTTCCAATTCCACCTTTAGAAGTATTCTTGACATTTTTTGTGTATGTTTCCAGAATTTTTTTGTGCATATATAAGTGTGTGTGCATGCATGTGTGTGTATACACATACATATATATTCACTCTCTTGAGACAATACATGTATTATTTTATGACTTACTTTATTCAGTTAATCTATAACTTGGACATCTTTGCATAGTTCTGTATATACATATACTTAAAATTTTAAAGGGTACAAAATATTTCATTGTATGGATATAGCATACTTAATCAGTTTAGTGCTGAGAACATTAATGTTGTTTTGAGTTTTGTTCAATTTTTCTTTTCTTTTTTTTTTTTTTGAGACAGAGTCTTGCTCTGTTGCCCAGGCTGGAGTGCAGTGTCGTGGTCTAGGCTCACTGCAAGCTCCGCCTCCTGGGTTCACACCATTTTCCGGCCTCAGCCTCCCCCGTAGCTGGGACTACAGGTGCCCACCACCGCGCCCGGCTAATTTTTTTTTTGTATTTTTAGTAGAGACGGGGTTTCACCTTGTTAGCCAGGATGGTCTCGATCTCCTGACCTCGTGATCTGCCCGCCTCAGCCTCCCAAAGTGCTGGGATTACAGGCGTGAGCCACCGTGCTCGGCCTGAGTTTTGTTCAATTTTTCTATGAACATCCTTGCAGATATATTTTTATGCCTTTTTGTGATAGCTGCCTTAGGGAAAATTCCTAGAAGTAGTATAAATGAGTCATAGAGTAGATGCATATACAATTTTTATCTTGTATTGCCAAACCACCCTTCAAAATGCTGTATCAGTTTTATTCAACTAGTAGTATGTGGGAATATCAGTTTCTCCAAATTTTGCCAACATTAGCTTTCATCAAATGCTTAATCTTTGCCAATCTGTTGGATAAAAAATAGCATTTCATTCATTTGATTTGTATCCTGTAATTATGATTCTGACTGGGCATTGTGTGTATGTATGTGTGTTTTGTTGGTCCTTTTATTTCTGCTTCAGATTTGATCATTTCTTTGCTCATTTTTTCTATTGGGTTATTTGCCTTTTATTTGTTTTGTAAGTGTTCTCTGTATATAAAGGACATTATTCTTTTGTCATTAATGTTACAAATACTTTTCTCGATTTATAATTTGTATTTTGGATATTTTTATAGCATGTTTATACAGAAAATTTTAATTTCTGGTAGTAAAATTTACCACTCTTTCTTATGGCTTCTAAAATTTGTGACATGCTTAGAAAGGCTTTTACTTTACTCAAGTGTTCAAGACAGATTCAGCTATGTTTTTATCTAATACTTTCATAGTTTTGTTATTTATACTTAGGTCTTTATCTATAAAATGGGGATTATAATACAATCTAGGTTATAAGACTGTGATGAGGATTGGGGGAGTAGAAAAAATTAACTTTTTGTCAGGTATATTCTTATTTAATACTTTTAAAGGAGAATATATAAGTTGCTTCTGTAAAATAAGATATGATAAAATATACTTGTTAATAAAGCTATGGATTATTGTATGTTAATTTTATAATCAGCCACCTTACTCTTACTAAATTTTCTCATGGTTTCCAATAGCTTTTGGTTTCTTTTGGTTTTCTAAATTTAGAATCATTTTTTTCTGCAAATAATGATAATTATTTTCTTGTTTTTTAATGCATTGGTTAATACATATTAAAAAATGCTACGTAATAATTTTGAAAGTAGGAATTTTAAACTTGTTTTTTACTTGATGGCAAATGCTTATGTAAGCATGGTTCTGCCTCTTGTTTTGAAGTATACACAAAATATTTTGTTGTAACATTTTTAAAAAAGTTAATACATGTTCATGGTACAAAACTCAGGAAAATAAAAGAGTAAATGTGAAAAGTAGGCTAGGTCTGGTGGCTCATGCCTGTAATCCCAGCACTATGGGAGGCCAAGCGGGGCAGATTGCTTGAGCCCAGGAGTTCAAGACCAGCCTGGGCAACATGGCAAGACCCCAACTCTACAAAAAATACAAAAATTAGCCAGATGTGGTGGCATGCACCTGTAGTTCCAGCTACTTGGGAGGCTGAGGTGGGAGGATTGCTTGGGCCTGGGAGGTTGAGGCTGCAGTGAGCCAAGATCGCACCACTGCACTCTAGCCTGGGTGACAGAGCCAGAACCTGTCTCAAAAAAAAAAAAAAAAAAAAGTGAAAATAATTATTTGTCATACCTCTTTGCCTTATTGACCCAGATCTCCGCTTAAAACAAACATTGTTAAAGACAGCTTCTTTAATATTGACCCAGAGATATGCTCAGCATTTATAAATATGTGTATAAATGTAGTAGAATTCTTAAACAGATCTATCTTCTCTTGTGTGTTGATATATGGAGATCATAAGGCATTTACAAGGATGTCAGTTTAGAGAGGTAGGAGGTTTCTGTGTAACCATTTTTAAGGACACTTTATTGTCTTACCAATCAGTCTCAGTCATGTAGTTATCTTTGAATTCCATCTATAGTCACCATAATTTTTGGGTTTTTTTTTTGGTCTGGCAGAAACAGTAGCTACACAGGTGTGCTCTCTTTATGGCCACAAAATTTCCATCCTGCTCTAATGTGTCCCTGATAGACAACACTCATTCTGGGATCCATTTCAACCATGATCACCATTCTAGAGATTCCCCTTGCCTTTCCAGTATTGGATCCTGAGAAAAAAATGAAAGGAAAATAACATTTTTGAATTATTACATCAGAAAGTATTCTTTTTTCTACATTTCTAGTTGATTGGCAGTTTGGCTGCATATAGAACTATAGGCTGAAATTACTTTCCTTCAGACTTTTGGAGGTATTACTCCAATGTCTGATAGTATCAGTGTTGCTATTAAAAATTCAAAGCTTTTTTTGCTTGCTGGTTCTTTGTAGGTGTTCCTTTAAAAAATCTCCAGAATATTTTAAAAACTTCTCTTTGTTCTTGGTGTTCTAAAATCTTACCATGATGTACATTGGTGTGAATTATTTTACCTACTATGCCAGGCGTTTGATAAATCTGTTTCATCTTCAAGTTGATGTCCGTCTCTCCTGGGAGTTTTTCTGCAATTATTTTATTGCTAGTCTCTTCCTCTCTGATGTCTCTATTTCTTTCTCTTCTCAGTTTTTTTTTTTTTTTAAAGATGATCTTGTTCTTTCATCATGGATGTAAAATCTTTTATCTGAGGATAATAATGATAGATTTTTTTAAGATATACAAAATCCAGTATTTTTTCAAGTTTCTATTTTCATCTTCTCTTATTTTTTATTTTTAGTGCTAAAATGAGATATCTCATAATAGTTAATTGTCAACTTATTAAAAGTAAGAAATTAAAAGCTATTTGGGACCTCTGAGTATTTTAGAAATATGCAAGAAATGGAGGCTGAGTGTGGTGGCTCACACCTGTAATCACAGCACTCTGGGAGGCCGAAGCAAGAGGATCACTTGAGGCCAGGAGTTTGCAACCAATCCGGGCAACATAGCAAGAGCTCATCTTATTAAAAAAAAAAAAAGAAATGCGCAAGTTAAACCTTTTGTATTGCTGTATGAAACCTTATTGCTCCATCCTTCATCCTACAAATCCAACACTCTAATGCACTTAACCCCCCAAAACTCTTGTATGTGGCTGTTGGGTGAGTTCTTCTCCAACACTTAGAGTAAATTGATGTGATTTTATAACATGTCTTTTTGGAAATATGTACCAAAGTGTTACATGTGTATAAAATTTTGCCTAGTAATCCATTTTCTAGGAAATTACATGCCAAAAGTTGTCCACAAAGAGACGTTAATTGCAGTATTATTTTAATAGCAAAAATGGGGGAAGCTAAACATTTCCAACAAAAATGACTTAGTTATATAAATTACATTAAATAAGCTACAGTGAAATACTGTGAGGTGTTAAACTACTGTTAAAGATCTGTATTTAGTGACCTTGGAAATTGTCTCAAACATGGTAAGTGGAAATGGCAAGTGACAATATAAATAGTGTGATCTCACTGATGAGAAT
Organism: Homo sapiens; assembly: GCF_000001405.40. NCBI lineage: Eukaryota > Metazoa > Chordata > Mammalia > Primates > Hominidae > Homo > Homo sapiens. The sequence continues at coordinate 27,890,571 of NC_000012.12, forward strand.
ATTTTAAAAACTTCTTATATATAAGAAGTTAAATATATCTTCTAAATATATAGAGATTTATCTATAAAGATTTTAAGCAAAATGTTAATGGTTAGATCTGGGTGTTGACATTTTAGATTTGTTTCTATTTCTTTGTGTTTTCCTGTATGGTTTAATTTTTACTTGCTTTTTTTTAACAATAAGAATTTTTTAAAAGTTTTATTTTCATTGACATAGTAATTGTACATATTTATAGAGTATAATGTGATGTTTTAATACATGTATACATGTATATATTGTGTAATGATCAAATTAGGGTAATTAGCAAATCCATTGATTCAAGCATTTATTATTTCTTTGTAGTGAGAACATTGAAAATCCACTCTTCTGGCTATTTTTAAATACAAAATACATTCTTGTTAACTGTTGTCACTCAACTATAGTCACCCTATCGTGCAATAGAACACCAGAACTATTCTTCCTATCTAACTATAACTTTTTATCTGTTGACCAACCTATCCCCGTCTCCTACTTTCTTCCTCAGCCTGTGGTAACTACCATTCTACTCTGTACTCCTGTGAGATAAACTTTTTTAGATTCCACATATGAGTGAGATCATACAGTACTTGTCTTTCTGTGTCTAGCTTGTTTCATTTAACATAATGTCCTACAGGTTCATGGATGTTGTTGCAAATGACAGGATTTCACTTTTTTTTAATGACTGAATATACTCTATTGTTTCTATATACCACATTTTCTTTACCTATTCTTCTCTTGATGGACACTTATGTTGCTTCCTTGTCTTGGGTGTCGTGAATAATGCTACAAGGAACATGTGGGCACAAATTTCTTAATGAGGTGTTGTTTCATTTCCTTTAAATGTACACCAAGTAGTGGGATTGATAGATTATATGACAGTTCTATTTTAATTTTTTGAGGAAACTTCATACTGTTTTCCATAATGGCTATACTAATTTACATTCCCACAAAGTGTGTGTAAGGGTTCCTTTCTCCACATCCTCAGCAACACTTGGTATCTTTTGTCTTTTTGAGAAGAGTCATTCTAACTGGAGTGAGGTGATATTTCATTGTGATTTGAATTTGCATTTCCCTGATGATTACTGATTGCTGTGGTTTGGATATGATTTGTCTCCATCAAATCTCGTATTGAAATTTGATCCCCAGTGTAGTGATGTTGGGAGGTGGTGGAGCCCAGTGGGAGGTGTTTGAATCATGGGGGTGGATTCCTCATGAAGCCTTGGTGCCATTCTTATAGTACCGAATTCTCACTTTCAGGAGACTGGATTGGTTTGTCAAGGAATAAATTAGTTCAAGCTTGTCCAACACACAGCCCACAGGCCACATGTGGCCCAGATGGCTTGGAATGCGGGCTGACACAAATTTGTAAACTTTCTTAAAATATTATGAGTTTTTTTTTTTTTTTTTTTTTGCTCATCAGCTATTGTTGTTGGTGTAGTGCATTAGCTATTGTTGGTGTTGGGGTATTTTATGTGTGGCCCAAGACAATTCTTCTTATTCCAATGTGGCCCAGGAAAGCCAAAAGATTGGACACCCTGGATTAGTTCTTGTGAGAGTGAGCTGTTATACAGCTAGGACTCCCTGGTGTGTAGTTGTCCATAATATTCTCTTATAATTCTTTGTATTTCTGTGGCATCAGTTGTAATATCTCCTTGTTCATCTCTGATTTTATCTGAGTTTTCTTTCTTTCTGGCTAAAGAGTGTTGATTTTGTTTATATTTTCAAAAACCCAATCCTTCATTTGGTTGATTTTTGTATTTTTTGTCTATTTTTGTTTATTTATGCTATGATCTTTACTATTTCATTTCTTCTAATTTTGAGTTTAGTTAGTTTTTGTTTTTTTACTTCCTTGAGGTGCAACATTAGGGTATTTGTGCTCTTTCTTCTATATTGATATAGGTCTTTATTGCTATTAACTTTCTTCTGAGTACTGCCTTTGTCATATTCCACAGGTTTTGGTATGTTATATATCCATTTTCAGTTGTCTCTAGAAATTTTTAAATTTCTCTTTTAATTTCTCTCCTTTAGTTAACCCATGGTTGTTCAAGAGCATGTTGTTTAAATTTCCATGTATTTTTATAGTTTCTAAAGTTCCCTCTCTTATTGATTTCCAGTTTCATACCATTGTGGTCAGAAACAGTATTTGATACTATTTTGATTTTTCTAAATTTGTTAAGATTTGTTTTGTGGCTTACCATATGGGCTATCCTGGAAAATGTTCCCTGTGTACTAGAAAAGAGTATGTATTCTGCTGCTATCGGATGGAAAGTTCTGTGTATATCTGTTAGGTCCATGTTATCTAATGTGCAGTTCAATTTCAGCATTTTCTCATTAATTTTCTGTCTAGTTGATCTGTCCATTGTTGAAAGTGGTGTGGTGAAGTCCCCTGCTATTATTGTAATGCAATCTATTTCTCCCTTCATAGTAGTTCTGGTTACTAGTGGTCCATTATTATTTGCTTTATATAGTTAGGTATTCTGATATTGGGTGCATATATATTCACAATAGTTATGTCTTCTTGATGAATTATACCCTTTATTATTAAGTAATGACATTTTCTGTCTCTTGTGACAATTTTTGACTCTCTATCTGATATAGTTATAGCTACCCCTGCTCTGTTTTGGTTACCACTTGAGTGGAATAGCTCCTTCCATCCCTTTACTTTTGGTGTACCTATGTCTCTTATAGGCAGGATATAGTTGGATCTTGTTTTTTAAATTTATTTATCCACTTTATGTTTTTTATTGGAGAATTTAATTAATTTACTTTCAAAGTAATTGTTGATGGGTAAGGACTTACTACTATCATTTTGTTAATTGTTTTCTGGTTATTATATTTATTTATTTATTTATTTTGAGATGGAGTCTCGCTCTGTTGCCCAGGCTGGAGTGCAGTGGCATGATCTTGGCTCACTGCAACCTCCGCCTCCCAGGTTCAAGCAATTCTCCTGTCTCAGCCTCTGGGTAGCTGAGACTACAGGCACGTGCCACCACGCCTGGCTAATTTTTTGTATTTTTAGTAGAGACGGGGCTTCACCATGTTAGCCAAGATGGTTTCGATCTCTTGACCTCATGTTCCACCTGCCTTGGTCCTCCAAAGTGCTGGGATTACAGATGTGAGCCACCATGCCCTGCCTGCTTTCTGGTTATTTTAGAAATAACAAGAAACCTTTGAAGAAACCAGAAACCAGAAAATAACCAGAAATAACCAAAATAACCAGAAACCAGAAGAAAGAAACCTTTGTTTCTTTCTTCCTCTCTTGTTTATCTTTGTGAGTTGGTGATTTTCTTTAATGGCTTGTTTTGATTCATTTCTTTTTATCATTTGTGTATTTGCTATCTTTTTGCGCTTTGTGGTTTTCATGAGGCTTACATAAAACATGTTATAGTTATAACGGGCCATTTTATACTGATACCAACTTAACTTTAGTCACACACAAAAACTCAAAACACTTACGCTCTTTCTCCACAAATTGTATTTTGATGTCACAATTTACATTTTTTATATTATGGATTTCTTAACAATTTATTGTAGCTATTTTATTTTTTGACTGTTTTGATTTTAATCTTTGTACTAGATAGATACATGATTTACAGAGCACCATAACAGTATAGGGATATTCTGAGTTTACTTATATTTACCTTTACCAGTGAATTTTATACTTTCATGTATTTTCATGTTGGTAATTACTGTCTTTTCATTTCTACCTGAAAAACTTCCTTGAGCATCTCTTGTAGGGCAGGTCTAGTGGTGATGACTTTCTTCCACTTTTGCTTGTTTGGGAAAGACTATTTCTCCTTCATCTCCGAAGAACAGCTTTGTTGGGTATAGCATTTTTGCAGGCAGTTTTGCTTACGCACTTTCAACATGTCATCCCATTCTTTTCTGGCCTGCAGGGTTTCTGCTGACATGTCTGCTGATGATCTATGGTCATTCTTTTGTATGCCACTTGGTACTTTTCTTTTGCTGCTTTTAAAATTCTCTGTTTTTGACTTTTGACAGTTTAATTATAATGTGCCTCAGTGGGGATGTCTTTGGGCTGAACCTATTTGGGGATCTTTGAGCTTCATGTGTCTGGATGTCCATACGTCTTCTGAGAGTTGGGAAGTTTTCAGCAATCATTTTATTAAACAAGCTTTCTGTCCCTATTTTTGTATCTTCTAGATGTCTCATAATGCAAATGTTTGTTCACTTAATGGTGTCCCAAAATTCCTATAGGCTGTCTTCATTCTTTTTCATTCTTATGCTTTTTTCCCCACTGATTGGGTAATTTCAAAAGACCTATCTTCAAGGTCAGATCCAGTATGTTATTGAAGCTGTCAATAACAATAAGACATTTTTAAAAAGTTTTTCTTATTTATCGCTTAGTTTATTTTGTCTCTTTTTCTTTTGGCCATTTTGAAACTAACTGCTTAAAATAAAAAAGTTCTTCTGATCAGTTTTTTTGTTACTTTATTTAAAAGTTTATTTGGAGAAATTTCATAAAATAAAAAACTTTGGAATGTCTGTGGATACCAACTTTTCATGCTATTTCATTGACCCTTATTATGAAAAATCATTTATAAGTTAAATTCTTATTTTTCTTGAATTTATTTTTAAAATCTCTGGACCTCAGGTGTTGTGTTTCAAAGTTGTGACTTTGCTACCTAAACATATTTAATTCAACATACAACTTGTTATATTGCAATTGCTTATTGCAGCTTTTCTTACATAAGATAAATACTAATCAATGATTATAACAAAATAAAATAACATTTAGTATTTGTTTAAAACTTATGCCTTGTCTCTAGAAGAGGAACTTCTTTAAAAGTAAGTCTTGGTGCTATATTGAGATATAGTTGTGAATTCTTCGTTTTTTCTCTGTTTTCTGTGGAGGATTTGTAGACTAACACAAAGATAAATAGTAGTGAAGAGGGATAAGTAAGAATACCGTGAGATATTCAGCCAATTTCCGGTAGTGTTTGCATCACTAATTAAATGACGAATACCAAAAGTGGGAAAAAGTAATGAAAACATAGAGCTCCATTCTTGCACTCGACACTCAGGCATTTGACGTGATCATATTTAGCTTTTTCAGCAACCCTGTAAGGGATTTATTCCTCATGTTTTAGGTAAAATTCCATATCCAATGTCATACAGCTAGTAAATAATAGAACCTAGATCTGTTTCCAAAATATACAAATTTTTCTGTTTTCATTCAGTGGTCCTCCCAGATGGTAAGGCTATCAAACTGGAAAACATTTTGAAAAATAAATAGAACAAATAAGACTATACATTATGGTTATTACTGGGCTTTTAAAAAATGTTCTCTGTGTATTGTTTACTGGATTTGCTTGCAAGGGCAGGGTGAAATTAAGCAGTACATCCTGATATGGCTGTGCTGTGGAGTTAGGAATATATTTGAGTTTGTTCATGAGAAAAAGTTACATCTTTATGTGTGTATATATACAAATGTACATCTTATGTGTGAATATATAATATATTGTGTAATATAATATATTACACACATATATACATCATGTGAATACTATATTTTATGCATATTTTGGCACACACACACACACACAAATATTTAAAATTTTTTTGAGGAAAGAGATGCCGTCAAAGGGTTCACTCAAAGAAAAAATGTTTTCATTTCCACAGCCAGTGAATACCACTTAAAAATTTTCAAATGCGGCCAGGCGAGGTGGCTCACACCTGTAATCCCAACACTTTGGGAGGCCGAGGCGGGCGGATCACCTGAGGTCAGGAGTTTGAGACCAGCCTGGTCAATGTGGTGACACCCTGTCTCTACTAAAAATACAAAAATTAGCTGGGTGTGGTGGTGGGTGCCTATAATCCTAGCTACCCAGTAGACTGAGGCAGGAGAATCGCTGGAACCTGGGAGGCAGAGGCTACAGTGAACCAAGATTGTGTCATTGCACTCCAACCTGGGCGACAAAGCAAGACTCTCAAAAAAAAAAAAATTCAGATGCATAATTCCCCTTAAGAACATAGAAGAGGCCTTGAAAGAGCTGGGGATTTTCCCTTTCAACTGTCACAAGCTCCTTTTTTTTGGACAGCGACATCATGTTCTTCCTGTATGACCTCTACTTTCATAAACATGCTCATTAAATTTTTTATGAAAACTGAATATAACATTTTCTTTAAGTTAGTGAAAATGTTGTTTCTTCTGTTTTGCCTTCAAGTTTCCTAGTTTTGTAATGATGTCATCTGCTGGGTGTTAAGACATTTTGTACATGCTGAATATGCCTTACCTTTATAAAAGTTCTTCACTCTTGAGTCAATAAGATGTTGGTACTTTGTCTATAGTCAGGCATAAAAACTTGACTTTTATATTGTAGGTAAAATTCTGATGTGATGCTTTAGCACATTTTTATCAATGCTGAATAATCTACACTAACTTGTTTACTAGAATTTGTAGTCTATTTTTCTTCTTTAAAGAAAAGGATACAAAATATCAACATTAGATTTTATTCTGGGTTACTTATGAGAAGAAATGAAATGGCATAAGAAGTCTTTAGAAGACTATAAGAGAATGGGACAATGTTAAAGTCAATATTGAATGACTATCCCTGTGCTATTACTTATATTGTAAATTTTGTAAATTTTAGCCATATTCTGTTTTTTTTTGAGACAAGGTCTCACTCTGTCGCCCAGGCTGGAGTGCAGTGGCGCTATCTCAGCTGACAGTAGCCTCTGCCTCCCGGGTTCAAGTAATTCTCGTGCCTCAGCCTCCTGAGTAGCTGGGACTACAGGCGTGCACCACCACGCCCAGCTAAGTTTTGTATTTTAGTAGAGACAGGGTTTCACCATGTTGCCCAGGCTGGTCTCGAACTCCTGACCTCAAGTGATCCACCCGCCTCAGCCTCCCGAAGTGCTAGGTTACAGGTGTGAACCACCGCACCTGGCCCACATTCTTTAAGTGAAAACATTTGTGTACGTGATACTTCTTAACAGACATTTTTGTATTATTAACTTCCTCTAGGCAAATTTGAATATTGAGAACCCCCCCGGCTGTAATCCCAGCTCTTTGGGAGGCCGAGGCGGGCGGAGCAAGCCGTCAGGTGATCGAGACCATCCTGGCCAACATGGTGAAACCTTGTCTTTATTAAAATACAAAATAATTAGCCAGGTGTGGTGGTGCGTGCCTGTTATCCCAGCTACCTGGGGAGGCTGAGGCAGAAGAATCGCTTGAACCTGGGAGGCAGAGATTGAAGTGAGTCGAGGTTGCACCACTGCACTCCAGCCTGGTGACAGAGTGAGACTCAAAAAAAAAAAAAAAAAAAGCCAGAATTACAATCTTCTAACCTTATATTTAAACCTTTGCCACATAAACATTAAGATGTTTTCAGATATTCTAGAATCATAGAATTTCAAGCTGTAAAGAGTTTCAGAAATCACCTATTAATAATTTGATTTCTTTATTTTGTAGGAAATAGAACTTAGGATCAAAGAAAAGTTGAGTCGTTTTTCTAAGGCAGAACAGGATTAAGGCTGAGACATACTTCTCCATGAACACGTTTCTCCAGACTGGTGCTCTGTCCTTTGGTCTACTGTCCCTGTGATGTTTTGAATTGGTAGAAAAATGCTATGGTCAGATAAAATGAGCAGTTGAGGTCAAAATCCATACCCGTTAAGGTAAATATTTATTCCCCCACCTCCCCAGAGTTACAGTGCTCTGTTTCCAGTGGGCAAAGTTCTTTTAATAGAGTAAGTCTTGAAATCCAAATAAAGTTTGGATTTCAGTTAATAATAATGCATCAACATTGGTTCATCAGTTGTAAATGTGTCACCCATATGAGCTTAACACAAGGAAACTGGCTCCAGGGTAGAAGGGAACCCACTGTACTCTCTGAGCAGCTTTTCTGTAAACCTAAAACTCTTCTAAAATTGAAAATTTACTTACAAAAAGTATCTTTTTTTTGTAATATTAGTGGGAAATTGTTATTTTTCTTTTAGGAGTTTTCTGAGGAAGTACTTTAGATGAATGTGAAGGTGACCAGTAAAGGGAGACTATGAAGGCAAATATTGAAAGTATTTGTTTTCCTCCTCCTCCTTTCAAAGAGTATGCAGTCACAAGAGATCCAGGCGATAGATTAAAAAATATTAGAACAAGAGAGCCTTAACAATCCAAATCCAATAGTCGTTATGCTGTTAAATAGCACAATGTTGAAAATTTTTTGGTTATCATTAAAGCATAGAGGTTGAGGACATTCGAAAATATGATTCCTTCCTTAGTAGCCATTTGCTTGCAGAGATTATATTGATTGATTATGGTGCATGATTCATAGATGATAACATCTAAAGTTTTCTTTTCCATTTCAATTTTTCTCCTCCTAAAATTTAGCAAGAGTTCTTCCCATGCAGATTTTTGGATAGCTTTGGTGATATGAGCAGTTGGTTAAAGTGACAGGGACAATTCCCCACCCCTGAATTCCAGCGGTTTGTGCTACACATTACCAGGATGGTCTATTTGTAAAATCATTTGTAGCATGCTTCATATTCATCTCCATCCTCTCCCTGTTCCCAAAGTTGCATTCTATGACACAACTTTACAAAACGATTTAAATCATGGACTAATGTACATGTAGAATTCAAATAAATCTCCAAGTAAGCCTAGGCCTCTTTGTGCAGGGCTTTGTTTTTAACTGGCTCAAGTCCCTCGCTGTGCCAAATGGTATGACAGCTAGCAGACTTGTTTATCCCTTGAATGATGTGTCAACTCCAGCAGCCCCCAAACTGAGCTATAGTATTACATGGGTGTTGTTTTTTCATGTGAAATCGTCTGTCAGCATTGACTCTGAAGTCAGCAGCAACTTCTCCCTTCATGTTCTCACAAAGGAAAATGTGAGCTGAGTGCGTAGGCTTGGATTTTCAGTCGCTTGCTCAGATGTTGTAACCATGATGACTCTTCATCTATGCATGTTATGGCTCGAGAGCCTGAAAACATAACCCAGGCTTTGTCAACACTGTCAGCTGTGTGTGTGTGTGTGTGTGTGTGTGTGTTGGGGCAGGGGAGGAATTCATCCTCTGCCTCTCTGTACAGCCCCGTCTGAAAATACTTTGCTTCCTGATTCTACATACCCTACGATGGCTTGACCCCATGAATGATTTACTTGTCATACGTATTCTGGAAAAGGCAGAATATCCATAAAGGAACTGGAATCTGACTAATAAGGTAATTTATATATCCATTAAAAATATTTTTTTTGCAAATTAAAACTACAGTGAGATACCATCTCACACCAGTCAGAATGGCTATTATTAAAAAGTCAAAAAATAACTGATGTTGGTGAAGATTCAGAGAAAAGGGAACGTTTATATACTGTTGGTGGGAATGTGAAGTAGTTCAACCCCTGAGAAAAACACTAAGGAGATTACCCAAAGAATTAAAAATAGAACTGCCATTCGCCCAGCAATCCCACTACTAGGTATCTGCCCAAAGGAAAAGAAATTGTTTTACCAAAAGATACCTGCATTTACATAATCCCATATATATATATATATATTTTTTTTTTTTTTTTTTTTTTTTTGAGACAGAGTCTCGCTCTGTCACCCAGGCTAGAGTGCAGTGGCGCGATGTCGGCTCACTGCAAGTTCCGCCTCCCGGGTTCGCACCATTCTCCTGCCTCAGCCTCCCGAGTAGCTGGGACTACAGGCGCCCACCACCGCGCCTGGCTAATTTTTTGTATTTTTTTTTTTAGTAGAGAAGGGGTTTTACCGTGTTAGCCAGGATGGTCTTGATCTCCTGACTTTGTGATCCGCCTGCCTCGGCCTCCCAAAGTGCTGGGATTACAGGCATGAGCCACCGTGCCGGGCCCATAATCCCATATTTCTCAGAGAAAAAAAGACACCTGCATTCGTATGTTTATTGCAGCACTATTCACCATAGCAAAGTCAAAGAATCAACCTAAGTGTTCATCAGTGGTGGACTGGATAAAGAAAATGTGGTATGTATACACCATGCAATACTATCAGCCATAAAAAAAGAGTGAAATCACATCCTTTGCAGCAACATGGATGGAGCTGAGGCCATTGAACCTAAGTGAACTAACTGAGAAACAGAAAATCAAATATTACATATTCTCACCTGTAGGTGGGAGCTAAACAATGGTACAAATGGTCATAAAGATGGAAAAAATAGATACTGGGGCCCCCCAAAAAGGGAAAGATGGGAGGGAGGTGAGGGTTAGAAAATTACCTGTTGGGTACAATATTCACTATTTGGGTGATGGGTTCACCAGAAGCCCAAACGTCACCATAAGACAATATCTCCATGTAACAAACCAGCACCTTGTAGCCCCTGAATCTAAAATAAAATAACAAAATAAAAAATAGCTAAAAATAAAAATACATTCCTTGAGTACACATCCTGTGCTGGACACTATCTTAGGCACTCAGTAAATGACTGAGCTTGGTTATTTAACATTATAGCCTCAAAAATCTGTATCGTGCTAATATCTTCTATATGCTCTTCCACCCTTCTTCACACTGGTCTGAAGCCCAAGAGGCTGAACTACATAGACTATGAGGAAGAGCTTTTGTATTCTCTGGTCTTCAACTGTGTTGGCTAATAAAATGCACCCGGAGGAGACTGGAAGGAAAGGGGAGAGTGAGGTTGGGGTGTTTGTTGTCAGGTATCTTTCTTGGGAGGAATTGTAGGTCCTGTTAAACAGCCTTTTCCGCCCAGTCTTCCCTCTTTAGCTTCCTCCAGGCTGAGGGGTTATAACAGGGTGGTCATTACGAGCCCCAGGGTTCTGCACTATCCACCAAGCGTTCCCTACACCCTGCTCTATTGCCTTGGTAAAAAGTCCCTTGATTAGAACTTCCTCAAATTGACCTTCTGTTTCCTGCCAGCACCCTGACCGATACAGTCATGGTAAGTAATCCTGGGCACAGACCACAGCCCAGAAACTACGGCTTTCACATGGATTATTGGATTTTATTCTCTCTCAAACCCACATAAAGTAAATTCTGGTACCTTAACTGTGACAAATGAAGAAAGTGAACTTTTGAAGGCTTTGGTAACTTCCCCAAGGCCATGTAGGGAGTAAAAGGTGGAATCAGGTTCTATGACTTCTTAACCCATGTCCCAGCTCTCTTTTGTGTCTCTTTAAGTGGGTTGCAGTTCTCCATCGCTGTCATTAACATGCAGCCAGGACAGAATGTCCATCATGCTTTGTTACATCTATATCTCAACATCATGAACTCAGTTCTATTTCTATTCAGTCTTGAGATATGGAAGTAAGAATATACAATTACTTTGGTTAATTATTACAGTTCTGGATTTGAATCCCTGGAACATAAGTATAAAAGAAACCCTGGATCATTAGGATAAATTTAGTTACATGGCATATCAGTGGATTTAAGGGCTTATTCTCCTACTGCAAAAGTTAGAAGAAGAAATTACCTAACTGTAAACCTAATTTTAAACCCAGTTATGAAGTTGACACATGCTGACCTGCATCTCATGTGGCTCAGATGGCTTTGGTAGTCCACGTGGGGATTCTGCTTTATGTCTGTCGTGATGGTAGGCACAGCAGCCAAGGGAAATTTGTTCCCACACAACCTACGACATCATCACTTTCCCCCACAGAGAATTCTCCAGGGTGTCAGTTTTCACACTTTGATCATCTATTATATTATTCTCTGCCTGGATTCTAGACAGATGCTGTAAATTCTCACAAAATAGAAAAAAAATTGAACTTCTTATAGAAATACAAACACACTAGGAGGGAGAATTAGGGTCATTTGTCCCATGTAGGTAAAGCTTTAGTTCCTATTAAAGCATTCACAGAGTTAAAAGATTAATCTTTTCCAAGTTATTTTCCACGTTTGCTGTGCTTTTCCCTCTGCCTGTCCTGTCTTTGTGTACAGTGTAGGTTTGATTTGATTTCTAAGGTTCGTATTGGAAGTCACTCCTTTGGGTTTTTTCCTTGGCATTTTCAAAGGGAGGAAAGAATTTCTCACCTCTGGAGTTCTACTCTGCTGCAGGTAAAGAATTTAGCAGCTATGGGGGTGATAATTAGAGCCAGTAATAATTTGACTGACTTACTAGGCACAAAATTGTACATCAGATCTCTCTTTCATGTTGTAAGATGGTTATTTAAATCTCTACATATGTGGTTTAAGAGATCTACAGTGTCTCAAAGTCACTGGTAAGGTGATTTAGCCAGGGGCATCCAAGTGAATATTGCCGATATAGATTTTTGTGGATGAGCTGCAAACTGTCTGGCAAAAGTCATTTTAGAAAGAATTTCAAAACTTTTAAGTATTGGTATGCAGGGGAAATTCAGAAGCTGGCTATCTCTTTTGGCCGGAGTGTTACAGGAGGAGTCGGGGATTCTTGGGTTCAGGAGGTGGGGCAGCAGCACTGACTGAGAGGACCCCAAGGAGAACCCAGAACAGAGTTCCTCCTGCCCAAGCTAGAGCCTCAGGATCTTCCTTATCTCCTTTTTCTTACTCTTAGATTTAATATCACCTTGGAAATGTCTGGGCAATTTGGCCCTCTTTTTCATCCCTACAGCCACCACCTTAATACAGGCCTCATCATCTCTCATTTGGGGTAATTATTGCACTAGCGTCTTAACGCACGGAATGTTGTAGTCCTTTGGGGCTGCTGTAACAAAGTGCCATATACTCGGTAGCTTATAAACAACAGAAATTAATTTTTTCACAGTTCTAGAGGCTGCAAATCTGTGATACAGATGCCAGCAGATTTGTTATCTGGTGAGGGCTTACTTCTTGGTTCATAGATGGCTGTCTTTTCATCTTTTTGCTATGTCCTCATGTGACAGAAGGGACAAAGGAGTTCTTTGTGGTTTATTATTATTTTTTGTAAGAGCACTAATCCCATTAATGAGGGCTTCACCCTCATGACTTAATCACCTCTCAAAAGCTGTACCTCTCAATACCATGACTTCGGAGGTTAGGATATCAACATATTAGTTTTAAGACACAAACATTTAGTCAAGAGCACCAATCTACTTTCTCCCTCCCTAACGAGCAGAGATGTTTTCTAAAATACAAATCTGGCCATGTATCCAACCCTACTTGAAGACACACTCATGCTTGCAAGTATCTTAGAATTTTTCGGCGGCTTCTTAACCTCTAAGGCAATATTTCTTTACCTGTTCTACCTTGATACACCTGAGAAAGTGGCTTGTTCATAGGTATGGATGGCTGGGGGAAAAGGGAGACAGGAAGGGGTGGTAAAACTACTGTGATGTGTTTGTAAAATTTGTAACTGCCCCATGGGTTCACTTTGCCTGCTGCCTAGACAGAGCTGATTTACCAAGACAGGGGAATTGCAGTGGAAAAAGAGTAACTCATGCAGAGCTGGCTGTGTGGGAGATGGGAGTTTTATTATTACTCAAAATCAGTCTCTCTGAGCATTTGGGGTTGGCGTTTTTAAGGATAATTTGGCAGGTAGGGGCTTGGGAAGTGGGGAGTGCTGATTGGTCAGGTTGGAGATGGAATCACAGGGGGTCGAAGTGAGTTTTTCTTGCTGTCTTCTGTTCCTAAGTGGGATGGCAGAACTTGTTGAGCCAGATTACCAGTCTGGGTGGTGTCAGCTGGTCCATCCAGTGCAGGGTCTGCAAAATATCTCAAGCACTGATCTTAGATTTTACAATAGTGATGTTATCCCCAGGAGCAATTTGGAGAGGTTCAGACTCTTGGAGCCAGTGGCTGCGTGACCTCTAAACCATAATTTCTAATCTTTGTAGCTAACTTGTTAGTCCTGCAAAGACAGACTGGTCCCAGGCAAGTCAGGTATCTTTTTGGGAAAGGGCTATTATCAATTTTGTTTCAGAGTCAAACCATGAACTGAATTTCTTCCCAAAGTTAGTTTGGCCTATGCCCAGGAATGAATAAGGACAGCTTAAAGGTTAGAAGCAAGATAGAGTTGGTTAGGTCTGATCTCTTTCACTGTCATAATTTCCTCAGTTATAACTTTTGCAAAGGTGGTTTCAAAATCCACAGGGTGATTTTGATATACCTCCCAATTGAGGGGAGGAGAGGGCACGCCTCACTTTGATTCCTTTGAGGACATCTGCTTGAAGGCACCAGAAGGACAGACACCCCCAACTTGGCTCACCTCATCAGCTTCACTCCCTCCTTCTGGGCCTCTCTGACTGACACTGCCACCACTACTGTTCCCACTCAAAGCTCCTAATCATGCCCTATGAAATCTTCTCTTTCAAAAATATCTGCCTAAATATTAAGGAGCAAAGTGAAAACTTTCTAGCTCTTTGCTCTTAAACCCTTACTAGGCCTTTTGTGAGCTGGCCCTGGCTTGCATGTCAGTCTTCACACTCACATTCTCCACTCCATCTATGGGGGGCTCAGAGAGTGTCTCAAACACCAGGCTTTCTTCTCTTTCCATGCCCCTGGGTTTCACACACAGCTTTCCTGCTACCTGAAGTATTCTTTCTTTTTCTGGTTAGTTATCACTCATCTTTTCAGTCTGGATGGGGTGCTTCTTTCATAAACTTGTTCCTTTCCATTCCATGGCACTTACCACTGCTGATCAAAAAGCCAAACTTTGTAAAATATTTAAAGAGGTTTATTCTGAGCCAAATATGAGTGACCATGGCCCAGGGCACAGTCCCAAGAGGTCTTGAGAACATGTGCCTGAGGTGGTTGGGTTACAGCTTAGTTTTCTACATTTCAGGGAGACAGAAGTTACAGGCAAAGACATAAATCAGTACATGTAAGGTATACATTGGTTTGGCACGGAGGGCATGACATCTCGCAGGATGGGTGTGGTAGCTTCCGGGTCATAGGTGATTTAAAGATTTTCTGATGAGCAGTTGGTTGAAAGAGTTAAGTTTTGCCTGAAGAGTTGACATCAGCAGAAAGAAATGCTTGAGTTAAGGGGAGCTGCAGAAGCCAAGGCTCTTGTTATGTAGATGAAGCCTCTAAGTAGCAGGCTTCAGAGAGAACAGATGGTAAGTAAATGTCTCTTTTCATACCTTAAAAGGGGTCAGACTCTTAGTTAAATATCTACTGGATGCGGAAAATACATAGAAGGGGAAGAAGAGTCTACAGAATGCAAATTCCCCTACAAGAGACAGTTTTGCAGGGCATTTCAAAGTATGTCAAACAAATATATTTGGGGGTAACATACTCTGATTTCCTTGAGGGCCTGTTATCTGTCATGCAATGCCATTCCAAAGTCAGGTTGGAGCTGGGTATCTTATTGCCACAAAGAGTCTGTTTTGTCGTTCTTATGATTTTTAGTTTGGTGTTAATGCTGATCAGTTTTGCCTCAACCCCAAAGGTAAAAGCTATAATGAGGCATGTCCAATACCTCCTTTCCCATCGTGGCTTGAACTAGTTTTTCAGGTTGAACTAGTTTTTCAGGTTTCTTTGGGATCCCCTTGGCCAAGATGAGGGGTCCATCCAGTTGTTTGGGGGGCCTATAATTTTATTTTTGGCTTACACCACACTATTTTAATTATTAATACCTAGTTACTTATCTATATTGGCTTCTATACTCCAGGGATCTATGTCTATTGTAACCACCCAAGGGGTTCTTCCTGCCTGCTGCACAAATAAAGACCACAGCATTGCAGTAAAGAAAGAGTTAATAGACACGAAGCTAACCATTCCATGTGGGAGATGGAGTTAGTACTCAAATCATCTCCTCCAAAGCTTGTAGGTTAGAGGTTTTTGAAAGTCCGTTTGCGGGAAAAGGTGGGGGTGGGTAGGCTTGCTGCTGATTTCTTGGGAAGGAGATGAACTCATAGGGGGTCAAAGATGTCCTCTTGTGCTGAGTCACTTCTGGGTGAGGTCACAAGAGCAGGATTGGCAGGTCCAGGTAGTGTCAGACATGTAAAAATCCTGAAAAGATATTTCAAAGGCCAACCTACAATACTGGTATTATCTGCAGGAATGTCTGGCAATTTATGTCTACATCTTAGCAGAACTCAGATCCCTCTCTTTCCCCAGGCTAATGGCCTTTCATTAGCTTTACAAAGACAATTGAGTATTGGGGAAGGCCCAATATCATTTAAACTATAAACTAAGTTAGCTCAGCCTAAGCCCAGGAATGATTAAGGCAGCTTGAAAGCTAAAGGCAAGAGTTCGGGTGGGCCAGATCAGATCTCTTTCACTTTTATAATGTTTGCAAAGGCATTTCACTGTCTTTCTTATTGTTGACTCCTAGGCATTCAGCCCACCATCTGGTACATACTAGATGGTTAATACTTGTTTATTATATGAATAAATGGAGAGGACAAGAGGGAAATAAACAAGGATGATGCAAGAAGCATGAAATTATTCAAAGAACATGCTCCTGATCCTCTCCTAGCTTCTTTTCTCACAAGATTCAAAGGCTGTGACTCAGTCTACATCTCATTTTAGTTTGCTACATTCTAGTCTCAAAGGGTTGGTCTGATTGTGAAGACAATTTGTGTTTGCTAGTTCCCCTCTTCTATATTGGGTGGGGGGCACTGTTTTACTTCTCTAGCATTCAGGAATGAATCTGCAAGATATTTTGCTGCTTTTATAATAGGGAGCTTCTCATGTTTTTCATGAAGTGTAGCTTTTTCTTTTGCACTCTTGGGATCTGTCATGAGAAAAGCACACTCTCTGTGCTATTCCGCCTTCAGCCTAGGCCTCACAGTGAAGACATGTGGGACAGACTAGATAGAGCCCAACTGCAGCCTGAGTCAGAGCCACCCAGCTGACCTGCAGACCTGAGAGTAAGAACACAGATGTCTTTTGCTACAAGCCACTAAGATATCTGGGTTTGTTACCTGGCATTATTGCAGCAGTAAATAACTAATACACCATCTGCAGTATAGGAAGTAAAGAGCTCTCATTGACCCCAAATAAAATACGTACTTAGAAACATAAGAACTGTGGTTGATACAGCAGATTGCCTCACTCATCATCCATTCCAACCTCATTCTAGTATTGTAGAGTCTGGCAGCCACAAATTACATTTCCTAGATCCTCTTACAGCTAGGTTTTCAAATGTAACTTAGGTTCCATCAATCAGATGTAGTTGTATGAAACATGAATTCAGAACTGAGTTAAGCAAGGCACCCATTTTTATTGGTGCAGACTATGGCAGAAGCTTCCTTACTTGGCAACTTTCGGCACAGGTGGGGGCAACATTGTTTACCAAGGGGCGTCTTGTGATTCTGGAGACTGAGAGGTTCTCCTAGATCCTCTGCGTAGTCTGCTCTTCCAAGCCTTCCAATGTTTTTGTGAACCACATACCTGGTATTGTAGCATAAATTCCTTTCTTCTTAGTTAGAGTGATTTCTGTTGTCAGCTACCAAAGTCTAACTGATAGAAATCATACAGCTGGAATTTCAAACTATAAGCCCATAAAAATCATACCATAAGAATTTCAAACTAAAAATTACAGGCTGATTCCTCATAGCCTCTTAATCACCTATGAGATAAAATATAAGTTCAGCCTGATATACATTTCACAATATGACCCTAACCTACTTTTCCAAACTCTTCTCTTACATCCTTTCTCAACTATTATAAGCACCAGTCATACTGTGCTGCTAGACATACACAAAGAACAACATGCTTTTCTGTGCCTTGGGCATGACATTTTCTCTTCCATGCACTTACTTTTTAACTCCTTGTTTTGTTTAATTAGCAAATGTTTATTGATTGCCTGCAATATGCCATGTCCTGTGCTAGGCAGTGAAAGTATAAAGATAAATAAACAAGACCCCGATATGCAAGGAGATCATAATCTAGTGTGACAGACTAAAATATAAATAAATAATTATAATAAATCTTGTTAAGTGCTAAGATATGAGTTTGAAAAAAAAAGAAAAAAATTCCGGGACAATGGAAAAAAAAAAAAAAACCAGAGGCTTGTTTACCTGAAGAATTGGTAAACGCTTACCAGAGAAGGTAATCCTGGAGTTAGGGTTTATAATGTGAATCATCTTAGTCAGTTCAGGCTACTAAAACCATACCATGAACTGGGTGGCCTAAGCACATGCATTGATTTCTCACAGTTCTGGAGTCTGGGAGGTCCAAGTTCAAGGCACTGGCAGATTCAGAGTTTGGCAAGAGCCCCCTTCCTGGCTCATAGAAAGCCGTCTTCTTGCTGTGAACTCACATGGCAGAAGTGGGTGAGAGAGCTCTTTGGAGTCCCTTTTATAAGGAGTATTCCCATTTCTTAGAGCTCCATCCTCATGACCTAATTACCTACCAAACGCCCCACCTCCTAATACAGTCCCCTTGGGTTCAGGATTTCAACATATGAATTTTGTGGGGAACACAAACGCTCAGTCCATTGCATGAATTGTGTAGAAAATTGACCAGGTATAGCATATGCCAGGAAATGATGAAGAGCAATTCAGGCTTTCAGAGTAGGGGAGTAAAACAAAATTAGATCACATTTGCATTTCAATTGTAAATCACTTTTTAAAGCAATATTATGGAATCTGGCAAGCAAGAGAGTCAGTGGAGGTTTTTCTATAAGGAAGTAATGTGATTAAATTATACTCTCATGCTTATTCTGGTGGCCACATGGAACAGGGACTGGAGTGGAAGAGACTGACGACCAGGAAATAGTTTAGGAGATGGTTGCGATGCAGTGAGACTCTGAGCTAATTCAGTAGCAGAAGCGGGTGGAGAGAAAGAGATCAGTTGTCGGAAATGTGTTTCTGGGATAGAATGTATAGGACTTGACGAACCATTAGATCTGAGGAATAAGAGGAGAGAGGAATTGGGATTCTGACGTTTCTGGCTTTCATCATTGGCTAGATATGTGCAAGCACTTGTTAACTTTCAATAGATATTTATTGAGAAAATGACTACAATTGGCTCCACTCACCCAGAGAGAATATAAGAAAAGAATCGTGTGTGTGTGTGTGTGTGTGTGTGTGTGTGTGTGCATGTGCATGCATGTTGGAGCTGGGGGAGGAAAAAGTGATGTTTTGAAATGTTCCCGTGTTTTGTCCACTTGCTCATTGATAGTAGACAGATTAATTCTGGGGAGTGATCAGAACTGGAGCTATCTATTATATTTGGATATCAAGAGCATATAGGAAGATAAGAGAGGGTAATATTGCCCAGGGTTAGTGTGTAGAGTGAGAAGAAAATTGGTCTAGGGATAAATGTTGGGGAATGCCAATATAAAGGGAAGATAGAGCGGGAGGAATCAGAGAAGGAGACAGGGAAAGAATCCAAGGGGAAAACCATTTTAAGAAGATGGCATTTGGGATATCAAATGTAGCCGAGTAAGAGATGTAAAGTGTCCAGTGGATTGAAAACTAGGAAGAGCAGCTTGGCAAGAGCACGCTCCACTGTAGTTGTAGTTGGATGGTAGTGGTGTGAATAGGATCTGAGAGTTGGAAAGAGATAATATTAATATACTTACATGTTTGGGCCTGGGTGAGAATAGCAGGAGAGGTAGGGTAGTTGTTCTAGGGAGGCTAAGGATAACAGGAAGATATCTTCTTTCTTTTAACTTTTTTTTTGCGATGGAGTCTCACTCTGTTGCCCAGGCTGGAGTAACAGTGGTGCGATCTCAGCTCACTGCAAACTCCGCCTCCTGGGTTCAAGTGATTCTTGTGCCTCAGCCTCCTGAGTAACTAGGATTACAGGTGTGCCCCATCATCCCACCTAATTTTTGTATTTTTAGTAGAGATGAGGTTTTGCCATGTTGACCAGGCTGGTCTGGAACTCCTGGCCTCAAGTGATCCACCCGCCAAGGCCTCCCAAAGTGCTGGGATTACAGGCATGAGCCACCGTGCCCAGCCAGGGAAGATATTTTCTAGAGGAGAATGAAGAGACAGGATATAACAAAACTGCTGTCCTACCACTATTAATACCATCACCACCTCTGCTAACACCACCATTAACTAAAGTAAAGATACATTGCCTTGCTGGGCGCAGTGGCTCACACCTGTAATCCCAGCACTTTGGGAGGCCAAGGCGGGCAGATCACCTGAGGTCAGGAGTTTGCGACCAGTCAGACCATCATGGAGAAACCCCGTCTCTAATAAAAATACAAAATTAGCCAGGCGCTATATCCAGTCCCTCAGGAAGCCCTGTCAATTTTACCTCCCACACACCCACCTTTTACTTCTGTTCACTTCTTCTCCATGGTTGCCATCATTACCTTAGTTCAAAGTATCATCACCTTCTTCCTGGACCCTTATGTAACTCCTAGCTAGTTTTACTCTACCCCTCTGTTCTCTACACAGTAGCTGGAGTGAATTTTCTATTGGAAATCTGGTAACACCACATCCCTTCTTAAGCTTCCTAGGTGTTTCTTCACTGCCTTAACACAGCATGGGATGTTTCAGTCGTGCCTCATCGCCTTGCCTTTTCTACACCAATCACAGTTATCTTTTCCTTTTTTGTTTTTCTTTTGAGACGGAGTCTCGCTCTGTCGCCCAGGCTGGAGTGCAGTGACGTGATCTCGGCTCACTGCAAGCTCCGCCTCCCGGGTTTACGCCATTCTCCTGCCCCAGCCTCCCGAGTAGCTGGGACTACAAGCACCCGCCACCACGCCCGGCTAATTTTTTATATTTTTAGTAGAGACGGGTTTTCACCGTGTTAGCCAGGATGGTCTGATCTCCTGACCTCGTGATCTGCCTGCGGCCTCCCAAAGTGCTGGGATTACAGCCGTGAGCCACCGCACCCGGCCATCTTTTCCTTTTTAAAAACACTTGCCACAGGGCCTTTGCACATGTAGTTTCCTATTCTTGGAACATGTTTTCCTTCCCTCTTCATCATAGTCAATTTTTGCTCTTCTTTCAGATCTCATCTCTAGCACTGTTTTCTCAGAGAAGCCCTCTTCAACCTCCTTGACTGAGTCAATCCTTCCCATTTTCATAGCCCTGGATACCTTTCCTTATAGTGCATGTCACAGTTTTACATTTTGTCTCTCCCTCCACCTCTAGACTATAATCTCCAGAAAGAAATGGACCTTGTCTGTTTTTACGCATCATTATCTTACTCCAGCAATTAGCATGATGTTTCACACACAGTAGATGACCAATATTTGTTCAGTGAGTGAATGGTTGGATACATGGATGAATCAAAGTATTTATCAATTGTCAGTCATACTATATACAAGATTCCTTCATTAGATAAGAATGATATTAGATGATTTATAACGTTCCTTCAAACTTTTAGGCTGTTTTTTGCATGAGGGAAAATCCATCTTTAGATTATACCTGTCATTTCTTCGTGCCATATAGTGCTTCTTGCACCAAGAGACTATGTCATTTATTTAGCCTTTTGATGTTCAATCATGTGATTAACATAGTTATTCAATTCTAGGAGACAGAGATGGAATTTGACTTAGATATTCTGAGAAAAATTCCTCAAGTTATATTCAGAAAAAAATAAAAATAATCATTTACAAAGATAGTTAAGTAATCCCCTTAAAGAAGGAGCGTCAATGATTGGAAAGGCCAAATAGCAAGATGTGTCAGTCATGATATGAATTTAATTGTCATGAAGCGAAAAAGAAAATACATTATAGCAAATACTCCAGGACCAATAACAGATTTTTTTTTCACTGTTGGAAACCTTAGGTTTATGAAAGGACCTGTGTATGAACCAATAGCCCACTTTTAAAATTAAAGGCACAAAGGCATATTTTTAGAATAATATGTTTTGATAAGACATTTCTGAGAATTGAATATATCCATATTAACAACTTCATTAGTTGGGGAAGAAGTGTTTATTTTAATCTTTGCAAGATCTAGAAAATATCTAGTGTTGTAGCGTATACTGAGTACTTAAATATTATTGAATTATAGCAGAGAAATATACAATAGAAAAAATTAAGCTCTCCCTTTGAAGGACAATATGGATGAAAGCTGTGGCAGTTGTTTTCTCTTAAGCTCTTTGCAACCTACTCTCTCTCTAAAGGGTTGGCTCAATCTCACTTAAAGTATTCTGTATTTAGAGGTATAGGTACTGAACTTACCATAAAGCAATTTACCACCTTGAATTGTTTCTCATATATCTTCCGATACCCCACACCACCCCATCCCAGAAGCTTCTATGGTGTTGAGACCCTGTCCGTCTTGATTAATTACAGTTTGTAGCTTTTCACAATGGTATTTTGCATATTCAGTTGTGACTGATATCTGTGAAAATGAAAATCAGTCTCTGTTTATAAAGAACAAATGTTCTTCATCATAGATATTATAATCTTAAAGAAAACTATAACTTTAAACCTTAAAAACTTTTCTTTCTTAATTTTTTTTTTGGTATCTTGTAAGTGCAGAGGCCTCAATTGCAAGGAGAAAAAAGAGAGATGGAGGGGATCCTACCCTTCCTGTAAGTTGGTACCTACAAGATGTACCAACCAGTTGCACTGTTCCAAATTAGGACTCTCTTTAGTTCCTAACTCAAGTAAACAATCTATTAACACTACAATAAACAGACAAGTTATTTACAACATTATGAGACAAACAGAAAATTGAAAGCTATTGCAGGTTTGCATCTCTGGAAAGTAGACCCTGAGACAAAGATTGACATGCAGGACATTTACTGGGGAGTGCTCCCGGGATCAACACCTGCGGGTGGTGGATGGGAGGCAGCAGGATTGGACGCATGGAGAAGTTGGACTAAAATGCAGTTGCCACATGTCCTCTGCTGAGGGACCCCACTGGAAGCACTGAGGCCCAGATGTCTCCTCAGTGGAGTGCCAAGTTAGGGTATGGACCTTTAACCACGCATCAAGCAGTCACTGAATGTGGGCTGCCCCAGGGAAAGGCACATGACCTTGAGGGAAAAGGCTCAGAAGCTGAGGACTGTCAGCCAGTAGCACAGCCAGCCAGTGAGGCATCAGCCCTTCAGTCATGAAGGAATTGCTAGGCAATGAAGCACAGCCTCTATCACCAATGGTGTGTGTGTGTGTGTGTGTGTGTGTGTGTGTATGTGTGTGTGTTTGTGTGGTGGGGGTGGGGGGTGTTGACAACATCCAATAATTTTTGTTTTCCTTTAGGTGTGATGATTTTATTATGGTTATGTTTTAAAAACAAGTTCTTATCTTTTAGCAATAGAGGCCAAAATATTTACTAGTGAAATGATATCATGGATAGGAATTACTTTAAATAAAATAATATTGGGGAGGATGTGGGGAGGAGTGGGACTCTAACTAAAACATGAATTGATCATCGTTGAAGTTGGGTGATTGGTACATGAGCTCCATTATACTGTTCTCCCTACTTTAGTATATTTTGACTTTTTTCATAATTAAAAATGTAAAAAAAAGCAATTTAAAAAATAATAATTTAGAAAACAAATCTGTAGTTAATAAGGCATCACAGATGAGATTTCTATGAATAAGGGTTGTTGCTTGTCTGAATGAGATTCTTTCTTTCTAAATAAAATGTAATTAATTAGAGGGATATTTCTGCCCTAATTTCACAGAGAAGAGAGTAGGAAAAAAATAGAGATGAATTTAGGTTTGAATGAAGGACAAATGCCCTAGGAAGTAAAGAGTTATTAAAAATCCTCTTAGATTCCTGAGAAAGTGTTGTGGGCATCTTAAGGATGAAAAAGACATACATCCTTCTGAGAAGCCTCTTGTGAAATTAGACAGAAGGCACTTGGGACGGTTGTAGCCATCCAGCTGCGTTTCATGTTCTAGAGTGTAGCTGTTGCTGTTTTTTCCCCTTCCTTTTCAACACATGGTAACTTTTTTCCCCTTTGAAGAGAAAAATAGCTTTTATGTGTGCCATGAACAAAAAATAATTTTTGTTCTTGGTAACAAAATATTTGTATATCCAGTTTCAGAACCGGTGATAAAGAAAGCCAAGTTAAAAATAACAGAACACTCACAGAAATAGAGGGTAGAATTGTGGTCACTAGAGGCTGGGAAGTGTAGGGGGAGGAGGGCACAGAGTGAGGTTGGGGGACAGTTACAAAATGACAACTAGATGGGAGGAATACGTTCTAGTGCCCTCTAGCACTGTGGGGTTAATATGGTCAACTCTGCTGTATTTTCTCAAAAAGCTAGAAGGGAGGATTTGGAATGTTCTCAACACAAATAATAAATGCTTGATGTGATGGATATACTAATTACCCTTATTTGATCATCACTAATTGTATATATTCATGGAAATATCAACTCTGTACCCATATAGATATACAATTATTATGTGACAAATAATAAAAGATAAAAACCCACAGAGCATTAACATCTACATGTTATTTTTTAGGATAAAAATTCATACATACAGCATATTTCCAGACTGTGCTGTTTCTAACTTCTGTCTTAGTACCTGCACTAAAGCACCTTACCATTGTTAGGAAGTGAAGTGGATCCTACTAGCTGCTGACAGTATTACCTTGAGCTCTGTTCTGCTATTGTGATTCAGTAGGAAGACTTTTTATGTGTGTGATATGGAAAAGCATTTTTTTTAAAAAAGATTAAGTTTGTAATTGACATAACAGTTTCAAATGGCATGATTAACTGGATTTGCGTATATCATTAATAACTGAAAAAAAATACCACATTGCCCAGGCTTCATGTCATTCCACGTGGTGGACTTGTCTTTACACTAAAAGGATAAAAGAACATCTGTTCCTTGGCAGCTTTGGCCTCCCTGGGGCCCAATTTGGCCCTCCCTATTTGGACCAGATTCCTACCAAAATGGGATGTGGGCCCTGCATCCTCTAATTAATCTTGCTGTGTTTCTTGCTGTTTGCATGGCTACTTTTCTTCTAACCTTCACTTTGGGTCCTTGTCTCAGATGTTATGCCAAGATAAGTTGAGAGAAACTATTGGTAGGCCAGGAGAAAATGCAAAAGTCTCATGCGTTTTCTGAAACATTAAGGTTTCAGACAGTGCTAAGTAGAGTAAAAGCAGAATATTAATGCTAGTGCTCTAGAAATCTCCACTGAACCAAGCATGGCTAATATTTCACTGCCGCCATTATTGCAGTTACTTGGTCAATCATTAATGGGGAGGTTTGTTCTCTTCACAGCATGGCAATGAGTGGCTCCATCCTTCCAAAAGTGGCTCTCTCACCCAGCAGTGGGCCAAGCAGTACTTTGTGAACAGGCATGGTCTGGTTCCTCGGTGCCATTCTCATACTTCTTTTCCTACTTCTGTTCTTTCTACTTCTTTCTGCCATTTTCCTTTCTTTCACTTTCCTTCCTTTACCCACTTTCTCTTGTCACATCATCCTTTTCCACACCATGCCTCACTTACCCATAAGCCTGGCTGAAAGCTAAAATGTGAAGTCAAAGAATATGCTTTGGACTCCCTTTCTTTCTCTTTTATTCCACACCCCTCCTCACTGTTAAAAGTGCTTTCTTCACCCTCTCTCCTAACAAAGCTTCCTGGCAGGTAAAGGACTGCTGGACTCTTGGGAACACTGAGAGGTAAATAACAGTGCTGAGTTTCCCACCCAGTGGCATTTGTATTTTAACAATTGCCCTCACTGTTCCCATTTTCACCCTTGACCCTCCTCTTCATTACTTATACTTTCTACCTTTCCTTGTCTTCCTTATTCTTTCTGGTTGCTTTTGTATTACGCTTTCTCCAAACTCTTCTTACCAAGTACTTGCCTTAATACCTTCTTCTCATTTTTGCCCACAACATGCTCCTAGGTCTTCTCTACTTACAACATCACTACTTCTAGAGTCCAGGATAGCTCATTATCTCTCGAACATGTCTATCTTCTTTGACCTTCATGGCCTCCTAATATCTGTCAGCTTTTAAAAATCTGTGCATGTGCTACTCAAAGCAATCTAGATTCAATGCAATCCCTATCAAAATACCAATGACATTTTCACAGAAATATTTTAAAAATCTTAAAATTGATATGAAACACAAAAGAGCCTGAATAGCCAAAGCAATCCTGAGCAAAAATAACAGAACCAGAGGCATCACACTACCAGACTTCAAAGTGTACTACAAAGCTGTAATAACCCAAACAGCATGGTACTGGCATAAAAATAGACACATGGAAGAATGGAAAAGAATAAAGAACCTAGGAATTAATCCATGTATCTATATCCAACTAATTTTTGACAGGAACACCAAGAACATTCATGGATAAAAGGACAGTCTCTTCAATAAATGGTGCTGGGAAAACTGGATATCGATATGCAGAAGAGTGAAACGAGACCCCCTACCTATTGCCATATACAAAAACCAACTCCAAATGAATTAGAGACTTAAATGTAAGACATGAAACTACTAGAAGAAAACATAGGGGAAATGCTTCAGGATATTGGTTTGGGCAAAGATTTTATGGATAAAACCCCCAAAGCACAGCCATCAAAAGCAAAAATAAGCAAATGGGATTATCTCAAGCTAAAAAAGCTTCTGGACAGCAAAAGAAACAACTGAGTGAAAAGACAACCTACAGAATGGGAGAAAATATTTGCAAAACATTCGTCTGATGGGGGCTTAATATCCAGAATATACAAGGATCTCAAACAGCAAAAAACCAAACCTGATTAAAAAATAGGCCAATAGATACATGAAAAGGATGTTCAGTATCACCAATCACCAGGGAAATGCAAATGAAAACCACGATAAGGTATCTCACCCCAGTTAGGATGGCTATTATCAAAATTGACAAAAAGACGACAAATGTTGGAGAGGATGCAGAGGAAAAGGGAAGTCTTATTTACTGTTGATGGGACTCTGACCCCATTCTCTTTGCTAAACTAGCACAACCACTATGAAGAACAGTATAGAGGTTTCTTTAAAAACTACAAATAGAACTACCACATGATCCAGCAATCCCCACTGCTGGGCATTTATCCAAAGGAAAGGAAATCAGTGTATCAAAGAGATATCTGCACCCCAATGTTTATTTTAGCACTATTCACAATAGCCAAGATATGGAATCATCCTCGGTGCCCAAAAAGAGATGAATAGTTAAAGATAATATTGTATATCCACAATAGAGTACTATTCACCCATATAAAAGAATGAAATCTTGTCATTCATGGCATTATGGATGGAACCAGAGGACATTATATTTAGTGAAATAAGCTAGGAACAGAAAGTTAAACATCACATGCTCTCACTCATATGCAGGAGCTAAAAAAGTTAATCTCAGGGCGGGCGCAGTGGCTCATACCTGTAATCCCAGCATTTTGGGAGGCCTAGGCAGATGGATCACTTGAGGTCAGGAGTTCGAGACCAGCCTGGCCAACGTGGTGAAACCCAATCTCTACTAAAAATACAAAATTAGCCAGGCATGGTGGCACGTGCCTGTAATCCCAGCTACTCGGGAGGCTGAGGCAAGAGAATCACTTGAACCTGGGAGGTGGAGGTTGCAGTGAGCTGAGATCGCCACTGCACTCCAGCCTGGGTGACAGAGCAAGCCTCCGCCTCAAAAAACAAAGTTAATCTCACCGAAGTACAAAGTAGAACAGAGAGAGGAATCTAGAGGCTGGAAAGGACTGGGGGGAGGGGAGGAGATAGGGAGAGATTTGTTAAAAGATACAAAATTACAGCAAGATAGGAGGAAGAAGTTCTAGGATTCTATATCATTGTAAGATGACTGTAGTTAACAGTAATATATACCTTCAAATACCTAGAAGAAAATGGAATGTTCCCAACACAAAGAAATGATAAATGTTTGAGATAATGCATATGATAATTACCCTGATCTGCTCACTATACATTATATATGTCAAAACATCACTACGTACCCCATAAATATGTAAAATTCGTATATGTCAATTAAAAAAAAGGAATGAAAAATCTTTGCTTGGCTAAAAGAAACAGGAGTATTTATTTATTTGTAGCTTGTTTTCCAGCTACTTAGAACTCCCAGTCATCATCACCAACAAACTGATGTGATTGCAGTAGAATGATATGAATGCAAATACTTAAAGAGCAAGATAATCTAAGGAAACAAGAGTTACATCAGTTAGGGTCTTTGGTTGTGAAAAAAGAGACACACTCTGACTAACACAGGGGAAAGGAGTTTATTAAAAGGATCTGCAGGACTCAATGGAAATGCTAAAGACTGGAGTCCTAGATGGGCCAAGAACAGGGGCAGCTTTGGGTGTCAGGACAGCGGGAACTTAGGCACATGCTCCTTGGGGCACTGCAGCCTGATAAAAATACTGTCAGTATTCCCCCCAATATCTGATCCCTTCTGCTCAAGATACAAATTTCAATGAGAGAATACAATGAGCCAAGCTTGGCTCACAGGCCCACCCTTCCACTGGTGAGAGGGGGCTTGCTTGGGGTTGTCTAGTCCTGGGCCCACTGAAGGGGAGCCCAAGCAGTAGATATCCAAGAGCAGAGGGGAGTTCCCCAAAGCAAAATCAGGGCGCTATGACCAAAAGGAGAGATGATGGATGCTGAGGGGCCAAAACCCAAAGTGGCCACCAGAGTTAAGAAATAAGTAGATTCCAGTGAGGACGAAGAAGATTCAAACTACGTCCATTTTAATCATTTTGCTGAGGTTTGTTGAGAGCATTGCTCCTCCTTTTCTAAAAATAGCCGGCCAGGTGCGGTGGCTCACGCTTGTAATCCCAGCACTCTGGGAGGCAGAGGTGGGCGGATCACGAGGTCAGGAGATCGAGACCATCCTGGCTAACACGGTGAAACCCCTCTCTACTAAAAATACAAAAAAATTAGCCAGGCGTGGTGGCGGGCATCTGTAGTCCCAGCTACTCCGGAAGCTGAGGCAGGAGAATGGCGTGAACCCAGGAGGTGGAACTTGCAGTGAGCCGAGATTGTACCACTGCACTCCAGCCTGGGCAACAGAGCAAGACTCTGCTGTCTCAAAAAAAAAAAAAAAAAAAAAAAAAGCCAAGATGCTAGGTTTAGTGTTCAAGGCCAGGCTACTGAAGAGGAAGAATTGGATAAGAATAGCAAACATGGTATAGCCCTATGAGTCCGGAGATGCTAAGTGTTTTTCACATATTAACTAATTTAATCCCAGCAGGAACCCAAAGAGGTAGGCATTCTACTCAATTTCATTTTACAGAGGAGAAAACAGGCATAGTGAAATTAATCCACTCCCTTAAGACTGCACAGGTGTTACCATATGCAGCCGAGTAAGTATTCAAACCCAGGCAATGTGGGGCAGTCTGGCTCTGATCCACCACACCTCTGGACCTTTACATAACAAAATACTCAATGACAAACATTTCAAAGAAAATGTGGGGCTCTGTTCATCTCTCCTATGCTGGAGAGAGGGATCCACAGGGAGAGGGACATTTTTAATGATAGTTTAATCCCTGCTGCATGGACTGAACTTGGGGGTTTCATCAGTAAACACCTGTTCCCATTCAAATGTAACACACTGAGACAGAAATCACTGGCACGCGAAGACACATGCTCACATCCTGGGAAGCCGGCTACGTGGTTGTATTTCCTAAGGGCAGTTATTCGAAAGTACTGTTGTTTTATTTTTAGTTTCCTTCAGAGTCTACCCCAGAGCACATCTCTTCACTGTCTCTCCCAGACACTCCTCTGCTTTTTCAAAAGGAGAAACACTGAACCTTCTCTCCTCCACACTAAAAGGCCTTTGTCCGAAACCACACATGTCGATTTTAAACAGAAAATAATATTAAAGCACAGTGCTTCCTTTATGTGCCTCATGCAGCTTTCTGAGTTCCTGTGTCCCTAGATTTATGATGTGCTCCACACTTTCCACCTTCTCAGTGCTGTTTTCCCACATTTGAAGGAGAAATGATCTAGAGATTTGTGCTGGAGTAAATTTATTCTGTCTTGAGCTGGGTGAAGTTTCCAAACTCACCACAGCATGGAAAATATAAATGCTGTAAGCATCATGCCTCCTTCCTAGATGCTGCAGACAGGGAGACACCAGGCCCGGAGCAGAAATTAATGTTGTATTCTTGTGATGACTTGCTGCTCAGAGACATTTGGCTCCTCTGAATTGAGTGACAGAAACCTGACCTGATTTCATCATCTAACACTTGGTTTCCCACTGGGGAGAAGAATCTCCTATGCCCTGTCCCCGCTATTTCAGCACTCTCTCTTTCCTTAAGGATGAGAGAACTATGACTTTGGGTGGCTGAACACTGAGCTGGAGAATTGTTCCTGATCTTAGGAGAGAACACTAGAGTCAACAGCAGAAGAGTATGTAAGGTGAAGTTTATTTTCACCTTTCAAGAAAGTAAACCATTGACTTCCAGTCATAATTCTGAAGGCGTATGTCCTTCTACTGAAGAACATGAAGCTTAGGCTCAGGGAGCAGAAGCTCAGAAATAGTAGCTTGCTGCATGGGATTTCCTCCCAGTTGTGTCGGGACACCTCAGCCTTGGTTCCTGTTTCCTTCTGTATGTGATATAACTGTCCACCTGCTCCTGTCATGCCAGGAGTCCCCTTATCCAGTGGAGCTGGCCCCTCAGGGACCAGAGAAGGTCTGTCACAGGGTTGGATGGGGCATTATTAGTGGATGAATCAACCTTCATCACAGTGGGTGAGGGTAACAGCCACCTCCTCCTTGATGGTCGGAGCCAGACAACCTCCACCATAAAGCATCTTGAATATATGCATTCGGCTCGGTAAGATGGTCTCAGTTTCTAAGTCCTTCATGCTTTGCTGCTTTCCTTCTCACCCCTCTTTTATTACAAACAAATCACCCATTCTATAGTTTCTTCTAGTGTCCTAACAGGAATGACAGCAGGGAGAGGGTAGCCCGGAGCCTGCCTTTTTGGGATCTGCTGCGTGAGACTGAGAATACTTTTCATCAGCAAGCGGAGGCCTTTTGTTGCCTCTGTGACCTGGGCCCTGCTTCTCCCTGCCACACTCTTATCTCCAGTCAGCCTGGCTTCCTTGCTATTTCTGGGCCCCCTGCACACTCTTCCCACCTCAGCATCTTTGCTCTGGCCATTCCCACTGCAGAGAATGCTCTTGCCTCAGATGTCTGGTTGGCTAATATCCTCACCCTCTTTAAGTCTTTGATCACTTTCTCAATGAGGCCTACTGGGAGCATCCTATTTAATCCAGCAACAAATCTGCCCTGTCCTCCCCACTTCCAATCCCCTTGCCCCACTCTGGGTCTTTGTTCCATAACACTTACCCCTTCTAACTGCCACGGCACCTACTCATTTATTGTGCTTAACACATGTTTATGATGTTTCCTCCCATTAGATCAAAAGCTCATGGAGGCAGGGATCTTTCTCTGGTTTGCTTAGTGATGCATCCCAAGTTCCTAGAACAGTGGCTGGCACAGTCACTCAAAATATTTGTAGGAACTCAAACTCTTTGAATGAAAGACGATTACGGTCAGTCAGAGCTTACCAGTGTGCCATAAGCCTCTGATGGGCCACAAATGGGTAACAGATGTGCTGAGATATTGACACCCTCAGCTCTTGAGGTGTCTGGCCAGGGTCTGGGGAAACTGAACGCCTTGAAAATTATGTCCTGCTGCGAGTAGCCTTCTATATTTACTCCAATATACTTCATAATATTGCCATTTTCTAGGTGTTTCAGGACATTAAAAGGTTTGGGAAGCACTTCTCTACAGCTAAGCTGTGTCCTGGCATGGAGTATATAGTGCACTTTTTACTCTGTTAGGTGGAATGCCTGTGTTGCTTTTTGGAAGTGCTCATATATCTTAATATTAGTATTTCCCAATTTCAATCAAGCATTAGTTCAGTGACAATTTCTGTTGTTCGTCAATGAAATGTTCTTTTTAAACATATGATTTTATGCCATGAGTTACATATTTTAAAACATCAAGAATCTATGTTAAATGAATCAAAGAATTAGTAAATTTGTATCAAGAGAGTGAATAAAAGTCACATTTAAAACATTGAAATTATCGATGGTGATTGTGGAGGTGGTGGTGATGAAGTCTGGAGGCCTGAAAGATGGTGCCAATGGATTTTGTCCTAAATTCTTATGCCTGGTTGCTCTAAAATGACAGTTCCTTTAAGAGGAAGGAAGGGGAGGAGAGACGATGGGAAGGCTTTCCCTAGAAAGACCTCAAGGTCTGGGGATCTGCTTCCCCTGCCTTTTTTTTCTTTTAACCACAACAAAAACTCTTAGCATCACCTTTAGGCTAATCCTAAGTATAATAAGAAAGGTCATGACGCTAGATTTCTTACAAAATATCACTGCAGGGCATATGTAAGATCTTGGCTGCTTGGTGAGTAGGTATTAAACCAGAGCTATCAAGGACTGAGAGGCAATGAGTCAGAGATTGAGAATCAAGACTAGAAGAGCCAGGGGAAGCCTGGGAGGAAAGCTCAGGGCCAGACAAGGCACTTGGCTGGATTTGGAAGTGCCCAGAATTTGGCAAGCATGATAGAACTTGGAGCCAGGACTTAGGCAGAAGCCAGGAAACTCTGGGTTCATGAGGTGAAGGCTAAATGGAGTGGGGAGAGAGGGTCAGGAACAAGACAGCAGGAACCAGCAGCAGGGATGTCTTGAAACCAAGACAAGTACCTCAGCCAAGAAGCCTCATATGTGCCTCTTGCCAAGGCAAAATGCAGCACCTGAAACAGTGTGCCAGGGCCTGCAGGTGGGAACAGGGTAAAGAGGCTGACATGGCTTAATGACCAGGGTGGAGCTAGAGCCAAGAGAAGGTTCTGGCAGCCAGCCTCCCTCTCTGGGAAGGTGATTACTTCCTTCCCCTCTTTCTAGATCCTATGCAGCACTTTTGACCTAGAAACTCTGGAGCAAACAGACCAGGATGCCAAACATGAAGATATATGATTTCTGAGGTCCCTTCAGCAGTGGGATCATGGGCAGAGGAGCCACTGCCTGTTAGCTTTGAGGACTCAGGGAAAGGCTGATAATGTCTGAATAGGGAGAGTTCAAGAGAGGGCACACCCAGGATCTGACCGTCATACCATGGGCTTCAGTATTATATATGCAATTTAAAAAATCAGTGCCCATTAATTAATCTAATGAAAATGGTTTCTACTTCCATGTACTCAACTCTTTTTATTGAGTACCTACTATGTGCCACACCCCTGCTGCTCCCTAGCAGCATTAACCTGACTCTCCTGGCCAACCGTGGGTATTTTTTATTCTGTCATTGACCTCCCTTCTCCCTCCAGCTGATACTTTCCTCTATGAATGCAGTTTGCTATAACTTTATTTATATTCCTTTTACCTGCTGCAGATTTTTGCAGGTGTCTGCATTTCTTGACCATTCTGTAGGCATTTAGAAGATGACTATTTGGCTTCTGAACGTTCTTCTGCTATTACATATTCCAAAGCTGTACAGAAAGTGTATTCACAAGGAAGATGGAAAGCCAAGAGGAAAACAGTTGCAATGCAGCCTATGCCCTGTGCTCTAGCCTCAAACTCACCAGGACTTGGTGTTCTAGGACCTGTGAGCCATTAGAGGACAGACTACTTGGGTAATGTGGTTGAACACAGGGAACAGATGGGTTGGATGGAGTAGGTCTAATTTAGGAAAGGATGGATGGAGAGAAAGGATAGATAATAAAGATGATGATAATACTGCTCATTTATAATCCATATAGTCACTATAGCACACTCATAGAGAAGAACACAGACTTTGAAGCCAGGGAGATGTAAGTTCCAATGCTAGAGGTGACAGTCACTATTTGTGTAATCCTGACTAGGTCGTTTAACTTTTTGGGTATCTGTTTTCTCATTTTTGATATAAATATAAACATACCTACCTCTTAGGGAGGGTTGTTTTGAAGATTAAATAACAAGATCATAGATTTAAAGTGCCAAAAGGGTGAATTCAGTGGTTGTGACATAAAATGGGTGGTTAATAAATGGTGGGTAATGATAAGAAAAGCCACTGGCTATTGAGGATTTGTGATGTTCTTGACTCTGTAGCTGGCACAGTAATATTTTCTTATTACCTGTCACCTATGAGGTAAGAATTATGCCATTTGAGAACTGAGGATCCTGAGACTTGGGGAAATTAAATAAGTTATTCAGGTTTACATAATTAATGAGAGAGCCAGTCCAGGTAAGTAAGAATGGGAGAAGCAAATGAACACTTACTGAATGCTTAATGTGTACCAGGCACTGTACCAGGTGCATTACAAGCATGAACTCATGAAATCATCATAACAATCCTAAGAGTTGGGTGTTACTGTCTCATTGTACATGAGGAAACTGCTTTTCACAAGGTCTACCAGTAGAGAGTTGGATTCCAGCCTAGATCTGGCTATCTCCAAAGCTTATGATCATCTTGAAAAGAGAGAGGCAAGATAGGCCTCTGGTTTTTCCCACTATGAGATAAAGTTTGGGTCTTTAGAATTGAAAAAGAAAAAAGCTGATTTCAGGAATAAGGAAAAGATTTTGACCTTTGGGACTTGTGACTATTTGAGAACCATATCTCCTCTGATGGTTTGCTTTGTTTCCATTCTTAGTCACCCCAGCTCTACTCTGGTAAACATAGGAGCTATCTGGTCTTGTGCTTGGAGTATTAAACTTTATGGGCACTCCGGCAGCCTGGTCACTTGGAGAATCAGTGTCCCTGGCTGCTTGTTGTGTGGTAGAGGCTAATGTCTCAAACCAGTCAGGGCAGATGCTCTCTGTACCTAGACATATGACCAAGCTTTAGGAATGACAAAGGAAACTCCTTATTTAATCATCAGAAACCACGAATATTGCTTTTTAGAAAAAAAAAAACTAAATAAAAAGTAAAGAGAGGGGAAGTCAGGTCAGTGCAGGCCACTTGGTCTGGCAAGCTGTCCATTTAGCTCACCCTCTTCCCAGGATGGCTCAATCCTGACTCAGAATCTTTGGCGGAGTGACTAGCCATAGTAGATATGACTACTAAGGAGAGAAGGAAGAGAAAGCAAAGTATTCTTCATCAAGTGTACTGTGACAGAA
This sequence comes from Homo sapiens, assembly GCF_000001405.40. Taxonomy (NCBI): domain Eukaryota; kingdom Metazoa; phylum Chordata; class Mammalia; order Primates; family Hominidae; genus Homo; species Homo sapiens. Next base: position 27,925,345 of record NC_000012.12, read on the forward strand.
AGCAGGACAGCGAGGAAGGCAGAGAAGAAACAAGTCCTGTAGAAGGTCTCCGTCTAATTTATGTACCTCACAACGACAGGAGTGGGGTCACTGGTCACTGGTATACTCAGAGGAGGAGGTGTCACACACCAGCCCTGTGCTGAAGGCTTCATTTTCATCTATTCAACACTCAGTAAATGGTGGCTCTGTACTTACTATTTGTAGGGTAGGATACAGCAGTGAGTAATTCCCATATGGAATTCTTTTTTGTTGTTTACTTTGTTTTCTTCAAGAGACAGGATCTTACTATGTTGCCTAGGCTGGTCTTGAACTCCTAGCCTCCTGAGTAGCTGGGACTGTGGGCACCAGCCACCTGTACCTGGCCTGGGGCTTACATTGTAAAGAATATGGGAGAAAGTGTACAGACAATTAACCAAACTATATATGTAAATAATGTAACAGAATATTTTAGAAGAGGGTAAGTTTCATGGAGAAATACCAATACAATCACTCTGAGAGGGAGGTATTCTTATTAAATTAATTAATTGGGCCACACAGTTGAGTGGTAGAGCTTCAACTATAAATCATGTCTTTTTGAATGAAGCTCCTTCTCTTCTTTTCTGCCCTCTGCCTTAGCTAGATGTTGAAACAAGGAAAGATTGGAAAGGGCAAGGCAGTCTCTAATTTTGTAGCCTTTTGTAATTGCCTGGAGGCAGTTACAGAATACTTTGGCATATGGCAGTAGAGAATTTATGTGGACTATATGTTTCGGTAAAGAAATGATCTTTCCTCTGCTAGCAGCAGAGTTGTTTTTGAGGTCAGCACTTCAGCCCTAGAGCTGAAGATGAGCTTGAATGAAAATCCAAAAATTCTCCTTAAGAAGACAATTTGTATTTCCATTGAGTGCAAACCCACCAGCGAGCTTGCATGCAGTTCTGAACTTTGTCGTTGACAAGCATTGATACTAATCAGTGGCCTCTTTCCAGCATTGTGGGAATCATTTGATCTTTTATTAAAGAAAATTCTTCCAAAAATATTAATTTAAAAATTAATGTCAACACTCTCTGACATTCCACCTCTGAATGCTGAAGAAGAAAAAAGTTTTAGAGTTTTTTAATAATCTTGGTAAATATTATTTGAACTTTACTTCAAGCCAAAACAAGTTTCATGGGGAAAAAAATCCTTTCTTCAGCCACGGGCAATAAATTTGGCCAGGAGGATCTGGAAGGAAGAAACTGAACAAGCTAAATACTAAGTGGGCATTCATAGCCATGAACACCATGATTTTTAGAGACATTGATGCTGCTCCCCTAAAATAAAAAATTGTTTTCAAGAAAATCCTCAGTCTTACCCATTGGCTCTTTATCTTCTGAGTGGAGATGTGGATATATCACATGGGCTTCTTCTTTTTTATTTTTATTTTTTAAAATAACCAGTGGTTAATTAAAAAGCCACTGCCTGGACACATTGTCCAGTGTTCCTCGTGTTTGGTGGAAAGAAGAAAGAAATGGAAGGCTAATGATTTGTTCAAAATCCAAACCTCTCTCCCAAGATCAAGGCATTTAAAGGATTAAGGAGGATGTGTGTGTGTGTGTGTGTGTGTGTGTGTGCGCGCGTGCGCGCGCATGTGCGTGTGCATGTCTGTTGTGTTTGTAGCAGCTGGTGTATTAGCTAAGCTTTACCTCCTTTTCCATAAATGGAACTTTTGCCTTTCATCTCTTTTCAGTGTTGCTTACCAGGAAGATATATGAAGGGCTTGAAGCAGGAGAAAGGATTCCAAAGGGTACTTCACTCTTCTATACCAAGGAGAGTGTGTTTATTGTCTCTTATTTAGTAATTGCTTCAGTTGGTGGAGGAAAAGGGAAGACAGACAAACAAAAACAAAGAAGAGGAAAGAAGAAAGTGGAAGGATGAAGGGGAAAGTGGTAGGAGTTCATAAAGGGCTCTGAATTGTCTTAGAAGCAGAGAAGAATGAAAACGGCCTAAAGAACTGGATAGTAATTCTTTCAACCCCAGGCTCCGAATACACTAGGCTCAAAAAAATTAGGTACAGATGGTGAAATGAAGTTAGCTCAGTGGCATTATTTGGTGAAGAAGAAAACAAACAGTTCTTTTTTTCCCACGTGCTAGAAGTTAGATCTATTTACAATAAAGCATGGAATGAGAAGTCATATAACCTGGACTTCAGTCTGACTCTGCTGCTCACCAGCTAGGTGACCTTGGCCAAGCCACTTGAAGTCCTTCAGCCACAACATGCTGGCAGCAGTATTACTCCTCATTCCTAAGTCATAGGATTGCCTTGGAGATCAAATGAAATAATGTATTATATATTTGTGCTTTCATTCAATAAGCATTTGTTGAGCACCTACTATAAACAAATGGACACATTCGTGCCTCATGAAGCTTACATTCTAGGTATATTCTTAAATATATTTCAGTATATATTATAATATTTGAAACACATGTATATATACACGATACAGTGTTTTTATAATACACAGAAACATATTTTACTTTATTCTGTAAAGATGATGATTATGCTACTCTCTCTTATGGTAGAATTTAATAAAAGCATCTTCGTGTGGGTCCCATTCTACACATACTTGGGTGTGGATGTGTGAATTGAAGTCTAACTGAGCAGCGCTTGTGGACTGTTGGCATGCCACCTCCACAGCACTCGGCTGAATCTAGCTTATCTCTCTTCATTTAGGTTTCTCAATAGATAACTGGTGCTGCCAGAAAAAGAACACCTTGAAAAGAAGAGTGGGAATATCTGTAGGTAACTCAAACAGAAGATACCAATTGCTTTGGTTAGCTTAAACAGGATGCTCGCACTCAGATAGGCTCATGGTTCTGAGGCTTGCTGAGTGAGGTGCTGTAAACTGCTTTTCTTTAGCTGAGACAATACAATATTGTCAAATGGAAAACAAGTTTGTAAATTACTTTTATTTTATAGAAAGAATAATGAGAGCTCATTCTCAAAGGCAAGAAAGTCACTGCTACAATTGTTGATATCTGAATAAAATGTACTCAGAATTTGCCCTTGCTTGAAAATTGCAGGGTTCCTGGAAAAGGATCAAGATTCTCTTTTAGCTTTCTTGCCCTTCCCCATCCTTTCCTATTCCAGTTTTGTTCAGACAGTTTCCCACAAGACAGCGGGTAGCCAAGGTCGGGGGCAGTGGAAGTTCATCTGGATGGGGTGTGTGTGCTGCAATTCCATCTCCTGAAGGGAGGATAAATTGCAGCCAAGCAGCAACTCAGGAACTGCACACATACCAAAGAACCCTGCCTCCAGAATAGTGACCCTGGACCCCAACTGGTCCCAGCTGTTGAGAGGGATGAGGTGGAGGCTGGGAGAGATGATGCTGTTAGAGATGGAGATTTGTCAAATGGAAAACAAGTCTGTGAATTACTTTTACTTCTAGTTCACAGAAAGGAGGATGGCAGCTCAAATTAAATATCCTAGAAAAGTGATTGCCAAGAGATATGTTCTTACAATTATCCTTTTGCCATGGTCTACTCCTGGAAGCTGTGGTGTGGCTCCCATGGCACTTGTTGCATGACCTTGTGAGTTTGTTCTTTGTCTTACTCTATTCAGGCTGCTATAAAAAACTACCATAGAGCAAGTGGGTTATAAACAACAGACATATATTTCTCACCATTCTGGAAGCTGGAAAGTCCAAGGTCAAAGTGCTGACAAATTTGGTGTCTGGTGGGGGCCTGCTTACTGATCCATAGTTGGCCGTCTTCTCACTGTGTCCTCACATGGTGGAAGAGATGAGGAAGCTCTCTGGGGTCTCTTTTATTTGGACATTCATCCTATTGATGAGGGCTCCACTCTCATGACTTAATAACCTCCTACAAGTCCCACCTCCTAACACCATCACACAGGGATAAGGATTCCAACATATGAATTTTTTGAGAACATGGTTGAAACATGGTGCTTCCTGAATGCAGTTTTTTACCCAACCAATTTCTACTACCCTATCTCTCCATGAACACCAAAGAGAGAAAATCGACATATGATATTGCAGGAATGAAATGAATAGAACGAACGTAGCATTTATTTTATTTTATTCTGTTTAATCTCTGCATCACTACTATTGTGATAATAATCTAGATCACTTACTGATCACTCACTATGTGCTAGGAATTATTTAGTTAATTGTTTTACCTGCATGATTTTAATCAGTCCCCCCAACAACCCGGTGAGTTAGGTTTGAGTATCATTCCCATTTACAATTGAGGAAACAAGCTTAAAGAGTTGAGTAACTGAATCATCCAGCTAGTGAGTGTCAAAGCCAAGACTTGAAACCCTGACTTATCTTCATCCCTCATCCTTCAGCCTTCAGCCATTCTGCCTTGCCTTTAATATTCTCTTTGTTCTGGTACCACATCACTCTTCTTTCTTTTCTTCTTTCCTCCTCACTCCCTACCTTCAGTCCTTCACCCATTATAGAAACCAAATGGTAACATTCAATTAAAAACAGCCACTCAAAAGGAAAGCTAAGAATGTTATACACAGAGCATTAATTTTTTCTCAGTCTTTTATGTTTGGAAACATATGTGTCGGTTTTATGATGGCTGGAGGGCAGAGCCAGTCCTTTCCCTTTGGTAGATACACCAAACCTACTGTAGGTTTAAGTGATAATAATATTTCTTAGACGTCCTCAAAGAAGTTTCCAGGGATGGCAGAGCACTTGCATTTTATAAGACAGCTGGTTTCTAATGGCTTGGCCCTTGCCAAGAACAGCACTGTACAATAACTACAGGCCATTGGTGATCTTGGTAACCAAGGTGACAGGGCTTCTCATTGTCCCCCAAAGAGAAAGAGAATATCTGAAGATGTACATGAACATGAATTTTCAAATGCTTAAATGAAGTAAAAAAGAGGTAAGTGATCTTTACAGAAAAGTTTGCAAAAGTGAAAAGAGCACATGTGAATATCTCTGAAAGAAAGGAATAAAGTACCCCAAAGAACTCCAGGCTTATTATGAATAGTGTCTTGAGAGTTGTTTAAAGCAGCGGTTCCATTGAGTTGGAGTGCTTCAGCTTGTTCCACTGGGACTGGGGTGGTCTGAGAAAGGAAAGGGCATCCAGGTTTCAAAGTTGGATGGGATGTAAAGAGCATGGCTCCAGTTGAGGGAACAGGCAAAAACAACATAGGTTTATAATGCGCTAATCCTCCACATAGACCCTACCCAGATGCCAGGCCTGAGTTAAATTAGGACAGAAAATTTTGGTCTGCTCAGTTCATTGCCATCCATCTATGTGAGGCATTTAAAGTATATGACTGGCAGATGGGTTGGGACTATTACTAAGTTTTTTGGTGAATATATAAAATCTATTAATAAAATACTAATACTTAATATTTTTGCCAGCAATTCACATATCATCCATTAAACTAGAGTTGAGACCTGGTGTTAGACCCTTTCTCAGCCCTTTCCTCACAGGCTCAGCCAGAGGTCTCTCCCATCATACACTGTGGCCTCCGGGCTCTGCCCCTTCTGCTGGCTCCTTGCTTTTGCCACCCTCTGTTTTGGATTCTTATCTTGATTTCCATTTTGGTGTTGATGCTTTGGAGTTTCTCTTGCTTTCTGGGCCATTGTCACCTGAAGAAAAAAATTCAGTTACTATTTTCTTTGTGCTTCACATCCAAGGTCAATCCAGCCTGCTCCTGAGATCAGACAAAGTTCCTTAGATCTAAACCTAGGACAGACCTGGCCTCTTGCCCCTACTTGAATAGGGGAAGAAGCCCCATGATTATGCACACTTAAACAGTCTGTATGAAAGTCCAATGTACCTGTATATACCCAATTTATATCTGTATATCCTTACCTACAAATTCCGAGTGGGCAAGAATTCTCTTACTCCCTAAAATCACAGGTAGGGTTCTCTTTTCCTTTTTCTCCTTCATTCTCCTTTTTCATCCACATCCCCTTGCAAATGTTATCACCCTAGAAATCCTCTGAGGGGATGCCTGGTATTGTGCCAAGATGATGTCTTGGTGTTTGGAAAGAGAAAAAAAGTGTGAGAAACAGTTTCTCCCAAGCCTGTCTGACCACATGGGCATGTAACACTTGACTCTGTATAAAAGCATCTGTTTATTAGAGACAAAGTGGAAGAAGAATGAAGTTAGGGCAAAATGTCCATCTCCACTGACCTTCCACTCTTGGTCCTAATTCATTCTCTCCTGTACACAGCATTGGCCTTATCTGGAGGCTGAAGCCATTCATGGTTGCAAGATGACTCTAACAGTTTCAGACAGTACATCCAGACATCACCACATCAGAGGCAGAAACGGAATCATATCTTCCACTGTCTTCTTTGTAAAAGCAAGAAATACTTGCCAAGTATCTCTCAGCAGGCCTTTCCTCAACTCTAATAGATCCAAAGCTAGTCATATGTCTGCCTCTAAAGTATTTGACCACATGGGAAATAGACACCATGTCAGATGAGACCAGTCCCGAGGCAGTGTGCACACTGCGGGAGTCAGCCATCAATGTTCACCATCCTGCTGCTTGTACACTAGGCCTCCCCCTTGTCTTTCTCCATGGGACATGTAGAAGGAGGCCTGCAACATGAGGTTTGAGATAGGTTGCATTGCAACTATTTGCGTTTCCATCATTAATGGGGATAATGGCCTCAGAAAGTCACAGAGGACTTGTTTCAGAGTCTGGAAAGAAGAGGGGCAGCTGTGAGATTTCCATTTTGTGGGGAAGGAAAGTGACATTTACCGAGTCCCTCTACTGAGCGCTGATGATCCCTCTTCCCCAGACCTTCGTCCTAGAGTCAAGGTGCAGTAGCTGAGCCTCCTGGATGCAGTGAGACATAGAAGGCCCAGGACGACACCACCAGAAAGGAGACCACCCGCTTCCCACGAAGGAGAAGGTCCTGTAGACTTGCCTTTCTCCTCTTTCTTCTGTGAATTCCTCCTTTATTCTACAGATCTTGACTCAAACTCTAATTCTTCAGGAAAGCCTTCTTTGACACCCCTGCCCCACCCTGCAAGATTAGGTTAGACTCACTTTCTATAAGCTCTCACTGCACCTTGAACTTTGTCTTCCTGTTATTTATTATGCTATGCCACCATAAATATTTACACAATTATTTGATTAATATTTGTCTTTCTGGCTAGACCATAAGTTCTGTTAGGGTCCCATCTCATGGCTGTGTGCCCCTACATCCTAAACAGTCAATACATGTTTTTGAATGAATGAATAAAAGGATCATTTATGTTTACTTTGAGCACTCTTATTCTCTCAAACGCAGCCTTCTCAATGGTTTCCTTTCCATGCTAGAGGCTGATTAGTCTCCATCCTACAGGCATGTCAACCAGATAATGTTTTCCCACGACTTAGTGTTGAAGGACTTTTCTAACTTACTGAATCATCACTAGTAATAGTAGCCCACTTCAAATGTGACTTTCTTACTTAAGGACCCAGAAGATGCTAAAGGTTGTTGTCAAGAAGCCAGGAAGCATCTAGGCACTTCCTAATACACTCAATGGCTGACACATAGCAAGTGTTCAGAAAATGTTTACCCTCTTTCTCTCCTTTCATTTACCTTTGCCTTATTTTCTCATTCATTTCTCCTCCTCTCCCTCCATTTGTTTCCTCTATCAGTTTTCATCTTTTCTCCTTTTGCTCCCTTGCCTTCCCTCTTACTGTGGCTCCTTGGCCTAGAAGATTCCTGAGGCCTCCGCCAGCACTGTTCAATATGGTAGCCACGAGCCACATGTGGCTACTGAATGCTGGAAATGTGGCTAGTCCAGATTGAGATGTCCTGGAAGTGTGAGGTGGACACAAAGTTTCAAAAATTTAGTATGAAAAAAGAATGTAAAATAGCTCATTAATACATTTTATAATGATTGTGTGTTGAAATGGTAATATTTTAGATAAAGTGGATTAACCAATATATATTAAAATGAATTTTGCCTGCTTCTGTTTAGTTTTTCAAAATGTGGCTACATTTTTTAAATGTAAAGTATTTTATATGTGGTTCATATTTTATTTCCATGGAAAGTGCTGATCTAGACTGTGCACAGGTGGTTTTTTTGGTGGTAGGAGAATGATCTGTATATTTGAAAGGCAACAGGTTGCATTGCTCAGTTCTCAGCAAATGGTATAAATTTACTTAACACCTTTTAGAGCTTATATGGGCACAGTGCTAGAGAAATATGCAACATTATTCTCCAAAATAGTGTTTCTCACTTTTATTTTTTGGGAGATGCTAAATACATGTTCACTCTACTGTTTTCTCATTCTATATTTGGTGTATCTCCCCACCCCCAAAGAATTTGTTGAACTTTAGTAACTATAATGTGTACTAGGAGAGTAATAAAAATATTGCTTTCCCTAAACAGTATATCTTTTCCCACCACTGTGGGTTATCATACTGTTCACTCCTTGGGAATATTTCTTGTCAATTAAAACTAAAACCACAACTGGCCACAGCCAACAGTTAATGGCTTTTTCTAAGTTATGTATATATATACACACATTATATATATATGTATATATACATTATTCTTTGTAAAAATAAAAATAAAACCTTACTTCATCACTGCTTTTAAACATTGTACTGGAAGTCCTAGCTAATGCAATAAGAACCCCTCTCCTCACCCCCAACCGAAAAGGAGAGAAAAGGTATACAGATTGGAAAGCAAGAGATAAAACTGTCTTAGATCACAGATCAAGGGATTGAAAAGACAAGCCAGAGACTGGGAGAAAATATTTGCTACAGACATATCAGATCAAGGACTGCTATCTAAAATGTACAAAGAACTCTTAAAACTCAATAACGAGAATGCAAAAACTCTATTAAAAGTAGGCCAAAGACCTTAATAGACATCTCACCAAAGAAGACATACAAATGTCACGCAAGCATAGGAAAAGACGTCCATATCATATGTCATCAGGGAGATGCACATTAAAACAACAATGAGATGCTACTACACACCTATTAGAATGGCCGAAGTCCAGAACAATGACTACACCAAATGCTGGTGAGAATGTAGAGCAACAGGAATTCTCATTTATTGCTGGTACAGCAATGTACAGCCACTTTGGAAGACAGTTTGACAGTTTCTTACAAAACTAAACATACTCTCACCATATGATTCAGCAGATGCTCCTGGTATTCACAAATGAGTTCAGAACTTATGCCCACACAAGGCCCTGCACACAAATGTTTATAGCAGCTTTATTTATAATTGTCAAAACTTGGAAGCAACCAAGATGTCCTTCATTAGGTGAATGGATATATAAACTGTGGTACATCCTTACAATGAAATATGATTCAGTGCTAAAAAGAAGTTATAAAGCCCTGAAAAAACACAGAGGAAACTGAAATGCATATTGCTAAGTAAAAGAAGCCAATCTGAAAAGGCTACATACTGTATGATTCCAACTATGTGACATCCTGGAAAAGGCAAAACTGTGGAGACAGTAAAAGACTGATGTTTGCCAGGGTTTATTTAATAGGGAAAGAGGAATGAGTAGATGGAGCACAGAGGATTTTTTAGGGCAGTAAAACTACTGTCTGTGATACTGTAATGGGGGGAATATATTACAAATATGTCCAAACTTAAGAACGTACAATACCAAGAGTGAACTCTAATGTAAAGTATGGACTTTGTGTGACAATGATGTGTTAATGTGGACTCGTCAATTGTAATGAATGATTCACTCTGGTGGGGGATGTTGATAATGGGGAAGGTTGTGCATGTGTGGGACAGGTGGGATATAGGAAATCTCTGCATCTCACCCTCAATTTTGCTGTGGACCTAAAACTTCTTTTAAAAATAAAGTCTATTAAAAAAAGTTCTGGGTCAAGTAAGTTTGGGAATACTGTGTACTAAGATTCTCTCTTGGAGATTATGAGGCTCACATAAAGCACATATTAAAGGTTCTAAGAAGTCCAATGATAAAGAAATCCAGCATAAACCAACTTGTTTGACCATAGAAGCTTTGTTTGCTCAATAGCTAGTTATATCCAATGGAACTAGTATGCAATAGAATATTCGTGGGAAATGCTGTACTGGCTTATACCTCTGTGTCTCAGGTGAGTTCATTCAGTAGTAGTAATCAATCAGGGCCTCACAATTGTTCAAGTATACCTAGTTTCTTGATTACCTAGGTAAAAAAACAAAGATTATGGCCAATAAAAATAGGCCCATCTTTTCTGTTATTAAGCAATCTTATCAGTTAATAGTAGAAGCTCCTCTGTGCCTGGGAAGGATGGACAGGTGGTAAGTAATGGAACTGTGCTTTGGGCTATCAGTTACATCCATGGGGATGAACCATGTACAGAAGGAAAGCAGATGTAGCTCGGGACCCATGAACCTGTAGGCCTCCAACAATTCCCTTGACTCTCCTTCCAGGGAACTTGAATATGGGTGCTCATCTTTCTCTGCAACCAAAGCTGAGCATAAAAGAGAAGATAATTTTCATTTTTTAAAAAGTTAGCATAATTTTGTATTGCTATAGATTCACACATTGTGAATTTACAGTTTCATGAAACATTTACAAATAAAACATAGTGAAGAATAATTTAGATTCTGACAAGAATTTGACCTGTTACAACTTTATCATACTCCATTCATTTTTCTAATGTGATATTTATATATATAAGATATAATATATTTGAAGTCAAAAGTTTCTGGCTAGATAATATTTTGAGACTTTTAACTGAAGGTTTTTTCTTTTTTAAATCAAAAATTGGATCTTTATTACTGATACAATGGCTTAAAGAACACAGCTTTAGCTTTGGAGCTAAATGCCAGTGCTTCAACCCAGAATTAAACATACTCAGCCTCTGGCACAGTTAGAAAAACTTGAGTCTTTTCCCTCCTCTGCCTCCTGGAGGCAGGACCCTTATATCATAGGGCAAATTGTAGCCTGGAATACCTCCCTGCCAAACAGGCAGATCGCAAAAGATACGGAAAGAAAGTTGCTGAGCTGAACTTGTCCAGCTAATTTCCCAAATTCACCAATCAGATGAATTATCAGAGGGGAGGGGCTGAAAACCCCCACCCACACACAAAAAAACCATAAACATTTGTGCTCTAAAGGACATCATTAACAAAGTGAAAAGATGACTCACAGAATGGGAGAAAATATTGGCAAATCATAGCTCTGATGAGGGACTTATAACTAGAATATGTAACTAACTCTTACAACTCAAATATAAAAAGACAACCAAATTAAAAAATGAGCAAAGGATTTGCATAGATATTTCTCCAAGGAAGACATGCAAACCGCCAGTAAGAACATGAGAAGATGTTAAATATTATATACTACAAAAAACAAAAACAAAACAAACAAACAAAACACACACACACAACAAGATACCACTTCGTGCTCACTTGCAGGGCTATAATCAAGGACAGACAGTAAGACAAGTGTTGATGAGGATGTAGAGAAATTGGAACCTTTGTACATTGTTGGTGGGGATGTAAAATGATGCAGCTTTGGAATACAATTTGGAAGTTCTTCGAATAGTTAAACAGTTACTTCATGACCAGATATTCTGCTCCTAGGTATATAACTAAGAGAAAAAAAATATATATACCACACAAAACCTTTTATACCAATGTTCATAGCTGCATTATTCATAATAGCTAAAAGTGGAAACAACCACCACATTTGTAATAAACAAGATGTGGTATATCTATACATTGGAACATTATTTGGCCATAAAATGCAATGAAGTATTAATATGTGCTGCAACATGAATGAACCTGAAGGGAAAGAAAGAAAATAAGTGAAAAAAAAAAAAAAAGAAACAGTCTTAAGGGGCCACACATTGGATGATTCCATTTGTATGAAATGTCCAGAATAGGCAAATTTATAAAGACAGAAAGTAGATTAGTGGTTGCCAGAGGCTGGGAGAAGGGGATAATGGGGAGTGACTGCTAAGAGATGTGTGGTTTCTTTTTGGGGTAATGAAAATATTCTGGAAGTAGGTTGTGGTGACAGTTGCATAACTCTGTGACTATACTAAAGCCATTGAATTGTACACTTTAATTCTAATTATATCACAAAGTTATCTTAAAAATTAATTAGTTCATGTAAATGACTTTAATATATAATTAAGGCATTACAGAATAGTGAGGAAAGGGAAGATTATTAATGGTATTGGGGCTATCTGCTTTACAATTTTGAAAAAGTGATACCTTTACATTTATATTATGATTCAAAATAAATTTTAGAGGGATTAAATATTTAAATAGTAGAATTGGTTTGAAACAGAAAAACTAACAAGAAAGTAGAAATATTAATCAGACATCTATTAGTGGAGCTAGAATAAACTTCTATGCAAAGCAGCAATAGAAGAAACCACCAAGTAAATGATCAACATCAAACTAGATGTGTAAAAATTAAGAACTATTTGATGTAAATAGGAAAACAATAATAAAAAGGAAAATAACAAATTGGCAAAGAACATACTGCAACAAATATGTTGGATAAAAGGTGAATATCTTCACTCTAGAAAAAGTTAAATTATTTGATAAGATATGAAAATAAAGCAGAAGATACAAAAAAAATAAGAGAAAGTTGCACAATTCAAGGCAGGATAAAAGTTGTGTAATAACCCTTACTGTGAAAAGGCTATGTGCTATACTGTTGTGCAGAGACAGGAAACATCCATTTGGTGTTGGGGAGGGAGACAATAAGGAGTAGAGTAAACAAAATGTGGAAAAATATTCGTCTGTGCATGTAATCAAAGGCATGTATTTTAAAATAGCAATTATCTATTTTTCTTCGATTGAATTAGCAAACACTACAATTCTCAAAACTGGAGTGAAGAAAAGGTAAAAGTGGTATATTCTCAAACACAGACAAGCAATGTAGTATCATGAAAAGATTCATACGGTGTTTGGAATTAGGCAGAATTAAAATCAAATGATAATTCTGCCACTTATAAGCTGTGTGATCTTGGTAACTAATACAAGGGTAAATCTATATTATTAACCATAATATGGTGATGTTTCCTACTTTGCAGCATTGATGTGAGAACAAGTGATACTATGTGCAAAGAATGTAGCTGAGTCCTTGATACATTCTAAGCACTCAGTTTATTCTAAGAGTTCAATAAACAGTGACTGTTTGAATATTATAGTTGGTCATGGAAATTAATAAGAAAAATTTAGCAAGTATCAAAAACTATAAAATGTTCATATTATTTGATCCAGTAATTTTACTTCTGGAAATATATTCTAAGAAAATAACCATTAAGACAAGGAAAAAAATTATACTCACAAAACTATTTTAGTGGAATTATCCAGAATAGGAAATGTTTTATAACAGAGGAATGGTTAACTCAATTTAGATGTAACTATTTGCTGAGTGGAAGTATGATGTGGCTGCCGCAAAGAATGGTAATTGTGAACGCCAAGTCATTTCTTTAAAAAAAATTGGTACTTCTGTGTATCAAAGGGCACAATCAACAGAGTGAAAAGGTAACTTACAGAATGGGAGAAAATATTTGCAAATCATATATCTGATAAGGTGTTAATATCTAGAAAATATAAAGAACTTGTACAACTTAACAACAAAAAGACAAGCTGATTTTAAAAAGGATGAAGGACTTGAATAGACATTTCTCTAAAGAAGACATACAAACATATGAAAAAATGCTTAATATTACTAATCAGAGAAATGCAAATCAAAAACACAATGAGATATTACCTCATACTTGTTAGGATGGCTATTATGAAAACAAACAAACAAACAAACAAACAAACAAAAGTAGGCCGGGTGTGGTGACTTATGCCTGTAATCCCAGCTCTTTGGGACTCAAAGGTAGGAGGAAGATAGCTTGAGGCTAGGAGTTTGAGACCAGCCTGGGCAATGTAGTGGGATCCTGTTTCAACAAACAAACAAACAAAACCCCAAAAGTAACAAGATTGGTAAGGACGAAGAGAAATTGGAACCCTTGGGCACTGTTGGTGGGAAACTAAAATGATGTAGCTCTATGGAAAATAGTATGGAGCTTCCTAAAAAAATTAAAAATAGAAGTACCATATGGTCCAGCAATCCCACTTCTGAGTATACATCCAAAAAAGCTAAATGAGGGATCTCAAAGAGATATTTGCCCATCCATGTTTATAGCAGCATTATTCGTAGTAGCCAAGAGATAGAAGCAATCCAAATGTCCATGAATGGATGGAGGATAAGCAAAACACAGTAAATCCATACAATGGAATATTACTCAGCCTCAAAAAGGAATAAAACAGCCGGGCATGGTGGCTCACGCCCGTAATCCCAGCACTTTGGGAGGCCGAGGCTGGCGGATCGCAAGGTCAGGAGATCGAGACCATCCTGGCTAACACGGTGAAACCCCGTCTCTACTAAAAATACAAAAAGTTAGTCGGGCGTGGTGGCGGGCGCCTGTAGTCCCAGCTACTTGGGAGGCTGAGGCAGGAGAATGGCGTGAACCCGGGAGGAGGAGCTTGCAGTGAGCCGAGATCACGCCACTGCACTCCAGCCTGGGCGACAGAGCGAGACTCCGTCTCAAAAAAAAAAAAAGAAAAAAAAAAAGAATAAAACTCTGTCACATACTACAACATAGATAAACCCCGATAATATTATGTGAAAAAAGCCAGTAACAAAAAGACAAGTATCATATCATTCCACTTATGTGAGGTATTTGAAGTAGTCAAAATCACAGAAACAAAGTAGAATCGTGGTTACCAGGGACTGGTGGGTGTAGTGGAGGAAAAGGGGAATTGTTTAATGGGCATAGACTTTCAGATTTGCATGGCGAAAGAGTCTTGGAGATCTGTTGTAGAACAATGTGAATATACTTAACACTACTAAACTGCACTCTTAAAATGGCTAAGATAGAAAACCTTATTTTTTTGCCACAATAATTTTTAAAAAATGAAAACTTCAATAAATATGAATTGAGTGTGTTTCACTGTGCCATGTCCTGTGGTCTGCAGGGAGATCACTTTGGAAAAGAAAAGGCTGGAGGGACCATCAAGGGCCATTTGAGAAGAGCAGGGAGAAGCCATTGACATTTTTTGAAAAAGTTTCTTTAAGACAGGATCTTGCTCCATTGCCCAGGCTGGAGTGCAGTGGCGCAATCATAGCTCTCTGCGTCCTGGGACTCCTGGTCTCAAGTGATTCTCCTGCCTCCATCTGCTGAGTAGCTAGGACTACAGGCACATGCCACTGCCCCTGGCTAATTTTTAAAATTTTTGTAGAGATGAGGTCTTGCTATGTTGCCCAGGCCAGTCTTGAACTCCTGGCCTCAAGAGATCTTCTGCCGTGGCTTCCCAAAGTGTTGCGATTACAGGCCTGAAACACTGCCCAGCCATCCATTGAAATTTTAAAGCAGGAAAACAGAAACAGTGTAAAATAGATTAGAAGACCAGAAAATTATATGTACAACAACTACGCAAAAACATGCCTATGAAGGAAAACGTGAAAAGGAATGAGCTTATAGGTGATATTTTCCTCCATTAAAAAAGTAATTCTTGTTTTTGGCTCCTCTAACCCATAAATGGAATGGCCAGCAAAGCCACACAATCTGAAAGTTCTAAGAGAAAGGAGAGTGTTGCGTCTTCTTCTATACCTACCTTTCTCTGGCTTACTCCTCCAGTCAGGGGAGTACAAGTTGAATTCAAGGCTGAGTGTCTCCTGTGCTGCCACCTCGTGGTCACTCCCAGGCTGTCAGCTGAATTTAAGAGTATGCCAGTAACATGTTTCATGTTAAATAATCAGAGCACAATTTATGAATATGATTGAAATTATTCTAGTAAACAATCTTAAAATGTGTCTCTTAGATACTAGTCTTGATTGCAAGTGGTTGAGGATGAACCTTGTGACCTTTTAAAATATCTTCCAGCTCTGTTTTATGTGGTTTAAAAAAAAAAACTTTTGAAGCTCTGGAAATTTTATATTAATGTGGCATAATTCATACCAAAATTTTTGTTGGTTTGTGTTTTTAGAAAACTTCAATATTTAATAATAATGAAAAGACACTAGAGGTTTTACAAAACGAATGATGAACTTTAGACATAAATATCATGACTAACATTTTTAAGTTGGCAAATTCAGTATTTTCTTTGCCAACCTGTTATTTTGCAACAAGAAACTTCTCAAAGTGATGATCAAATAGTCCTTAGGCTTAAAAGTGGTATATGTTGACATTGAGAAAAAATAATATTTGAATATAAGAAAATCTGTGGTGCTTGCTAATGAATAAGTTTTAAATCATATGGCATGAAGCAAGTATTTTATTCCATAATTTAGAACTATTTTATAATTAATGGGAAATGCTATTTTTTCCAGAAGACAAATAGACCATACATATTAAATTAATGTAAGAAATTTCAACATCTTACCTTATGCATCGGTTTTTTTTCTTCTTTCTTTTTCCTATTTGTCAATTGTAAAGACTATGTAGCAAAATTTTTGACTTTTTAAATTCCCTAATGATATCTGAATTTATGAATTAATCTATATTTTAGGAAAGGCAGAGGCTCTGGACTCAGATTGTCTGCTTCCAATTCTGACATGACCTTTCTGGGCACATGTTCTTTGAATCAATGAGTTTAATGGTTTTCATCTGCAAAATGAGACAATCACCTTACCTACTTCAGAGGGGTTTTGAAGAATTCAATGAAATAATGCATACAATGCCCTTGACAGTGCTCAGTACATAAGAAATGCTCACTCTTAGGCAATATTACAAATGAAGAGAAGCTATGCTAGTGAAAAAGGTCTGTAATTATCACAACATCATAGTACTCTAATATCTTAATAACTTTCACCAGATCAGTGGTGTGATTTCTTTCTTTTTTTTTGAGATGGAGTCTTGCTCTGTCACCCAGGCTGGAGTGCAGTGGCACGATCTTGGCTCACTGCAACCTCCGCCTCCTGGATTCAAGCGATTCTTTTGCCTCAGCCTCCTGAGTAGCTGGGACTACAGGCGTGTGCCACCATGCCCAGTTAATTTTTGTATTTTTAGTAGAGATGGGGTTTCACCATGTTGGCCAGGCTGGTCATGAACTCCTGACCTTGTGATCTGCCTGTCTCGGCCTCCCAAAGTGCTGGGATTACAGATGTGAGCCACTGCACCAAGCTTGGTGTGATTTCTTTAAAACGTGTGATGTGTGTGTGTGTAATGATCTATTTCTAGAAATGTTTACTTAGGAGTTATTTTGTTATTTAGTTGTTATTTTGAAGAAATTACTATCACATATGCATCTCACAGCCTGTTCTTCCTTAGATATGGATTCTACAGTGTTCAGAATAGAAACAAAATGAGTTTGATCCAGAGCATGACCTGTTACACTGTAAAGTTTTAATTAAAAAGACGTAAGCAAAAATTCAAATCCAAATATTACATATCTCAAAAACTGTTCATACTCTATAATATTTAAAACCACTTCCCATACATGAGTGCTAGGTAAAGCTTTAATAACTCTTGAATTAGCATTTTTTTTCTTTTTTTTTTATTATACTTTAAGTTTTAGGGTACATGTGCACATTGTGCAGGTTAGTTACATATGTATACATGTGCCATGCTGCTGCGCTGCACCCACTAACTCGTCATCTAGCATTAGGTATATCTCCCAGTGCTATCCCTCCCCCCTCCCCCGACCCCACAACAGTCCCCAGAGTGTGATATTCCCCTTCCTGTGTCCATGTGATCTCATTGTTCAATTCCCACCTATGAGTGAGAATATGCGGTGTTTGGTTTTTTCTTCTTGCGATAGTTTACTGAGAATCATTTCTATAAACAAGCCTTTTAAATATCATTTAAGTTCTTTAAAGAATTGATTATTGTCCACCATGTTGTTGTATGATTGGAGAAATAGAACAACTGAGGAATCTTTTATGATGTTATGTAGTCATAATAAGTTTAAAATATATGGTACAAATCAGATCCAAACAATATATGGTATGTTATTTGGATACCAAACAATATATGGTACAAAAATCAGAGAGATGCAGGGAACAGCTCAGAGTCAGGAGTAGAGAATAAGGAATTGTCTATGGAGTGTTCTTGAAGGCGATATGTTGGCAAAGTTCTGGATTTTTGGAGAGACTGTCCCGGACAATCAATATATCTCTGAGTCAGTATATTAGTCTCTTTTTTTTTTTTTTTTTTTTTTTTTTTGAGATAGGTTTCTCACTTTGTCACCCAAGCTGGAGTGCAGTGGCACAATCTCAGCTCACTGCAGTCTTGACCTTCCAGGCTCAAGTGATCCTTGCACCTCAGCCTCCTGAGTAGCTAGGACCCACAGGTGTGCACCATTATACCTGGCTAATTTTTGTATTTTTTGTAGAGATGAAGTCTCACTATTTTGCCCAGGCTGGTCTCGAACTCCTGAACTCAAGTGATTCATCTGCCTTAATATCCTAAAGAGATGGGATTACAGGTGTGGACCACTGCATCTGGCTAGTATATGAGGCTCTTATCAAAGATTGAGGCTGGTCAGGAGAAGCTTGATGGATAGAGAATATGGAGTGAGCAGAAATGCAGAATCTGAAATACGTGGTGTGGTCTGGCTGAAGAAAGAGGGTGTGAATGGTGCAGGCACAGTTGCTAAACATCAGAATTAAGCCTCAGATCCAAGTGTTCTCACCCAGATTTGGTGATGCTGAGAACAGGGATGCTCCGCTCATGCAAAGAGCTGCTATGTTCCTTTCATTGATTCAGCACATGTTTATTCAACTTATGTGGCAGAAACCATTCCAGACACTAGGGAACATGACACAGTCCTTGCTTTAAGGAGCTTAGTGGGTGACAGCTATGTGAACATACAATCACAGAACAGTGTGATAAGTGCTGGACAGAATGCTTAGAACAGGGATTTTGGCATTATCTAGACTCAGGCTCTTGCTTTGTAACCTTGGTGAGTTGCTTGACCTTCAAGCCGCAGATTTCTTATCCAGAAAATGGAGGCACTAACAAAACCTATTATATTTGGGTTCTTATGGGATTGACATGCTATGATGCCAGCCAAGTTCTTAACATAATCCTGTCTCATGGTGGTGGGGGCCGGAGGGGGAACCTAATAAATGTTAGCTATCGGGAGGAAAAGCACAGAGCTATGGGGCTCACTACTTGAGAAACAGCGAGTTCAAAGAAGACATAATGGAAGATGTGAGTAAGATGAGGCCCAGAGAAGTTAGCCTGACAAAGGAAAGCACATGGAAGGCTGGGGAGGAGTGTTCAGGGAGGAAGAGTTCTAGAGGTGGGAGAATGAAAGGCGTGTTGAGGGAACTAAAAATAGCAGATAAATGAACATAAAATGGATTCTGGAGAGAGAGGAAGGGCTTTCATTCTGCAGGGTTGCATATGTCAGAGAGTTCTCGAGACTCACCAAGCACACACCTACCTCACTGACATCAGCTTGACCTTCCTTCTGCCTGGAATGCTATTCCCTACATGCCTCTTTCCCTTGCTTCCTTCAGGCCTTTGCTCAGATGTTTCCATATCAGGGAAGTCTTCCTTGACCACCCTACATAAAATAGGATTTAAACAGTATAGGGCAGTAGTGAAATAGGCAGATTCAGGATCCCGACTGCTGGGACTCACATCCCAACGCTGCCATTTCCTGCAGCAAATTACTACACCTTGTTATGCTTCACCTTCCTCATGTGTAAAATGAGCATAATGCTAGTGCTGATGCAGAGAGGTGCTATAAGGATGAAATGAATTAATAGAAGTAGACCCTGGAGAAGATTGCTTGGCACACAGTAAGTACTCAGTAAGCATCTGCTGCTGTTACTGTCACTGCAATAATATTATTCCAAATAGTAAATAAGGCACACAATCAAGGCCATTACATGGTTAAAGTTAGCACCCCGTTCAGTCTGCTCAGTGCTCTCTGTAAGCTGCTGGGACCTAGAGTTCTACGAGGGGGATGATTTTGTCGTTGATGTTATTTTGCTTTTGTAATTGTAATTAGGAAACACATTGAACACGTCAAGAAATATATGGAAGTGTATAATGAATATCTCTATATCCACCACTCAGCTTAAGAAATAAAATGTTGCAGGCCAGGCACGATGGCTCATGCCTGTAATCCCAACACTTTGGGAGGCTGAGGCGGGTGGATCACTTGAGGCCAGGAGTTTGAGACCAGCCTGGCCAACATGGCAAAACCCTGTCTCTACTAAAAAGACAAAAATTGGCTGGGCGTGGTGGTGGGCACCTGTAATCCCAGCTACCTAGGAGGCTGAGGCAGGAGGATCGCTTGAACCCAGGACGTGGAGGTTGCAGTGAGCTGAAATCACGCTGCTGCACTCCAGCCTGGGTGATAGAGTGAGACTCCGTCTCATAAATAAATAAATAAATAAATAAAATAAATAGAATGTTACAAACAGAAGCATCTTAAGGTGTTTTGGTTCTGATTTCTTTATTATTGCCCAACACTAAAAACTTTTTCCTAAGTGAGCCACTTGGAAGCTACTTCCATGGACTGTTGACAGGTATTATGTGGGGAAAAGTTTGGGGGATTGGGCTCAAGTTAGTTTGAGAAATACTGATTTTAATAAAGTAAAATGGGGTTATTTTCTTCATGACAGCTCAAAGCCTTTCAAGCTGAACACAGGAACCCCTTTTTATGCCATGTCTTTTGTGACTATGTTTTATACAAAACAGTTTTGGAAACACCAATCTGTGTTATACTACTGCATCAACTCCAAAGAGTACCAATCACCTGATAATTTTCACACTCACTCAGAGGATAAATTAATTTTAAAAATTGAGTTAAAAAATAGGGCTTAGTAATTAATAATCTTAGTGCCAAGAAGATCAGAAACAAATGGGCAGTTTGGCTTTAATATCCATGGAGTTATGGCCTGATATTTACATTCCAATTTTCTCCATAATCTTGCTATTTTATTCCATCCATGTTTTCCTTGATCCTGGTATTTATTTAGTTTTAATTGTCATTGTAACAATTTTGTGTTGTTATTGTAATATCTCTCAAATCCCTTGTAGAACAAGGCAGAGAATACATTCATTAAACTCAAATGAAATATACTACCTAATTGTCTTCACTCAAAAATACTAAATTTTACAGTGCTGATTTAATAACTATATCGGACATTTGTTTTGGTTGTTTCCAAATTTAACATTGATTGATACTGATATTAGGCCTTTGGTAGTAATGTAAGCCAGAAGTTGGACTATAGCCACACCATACTTATAAATTTAGTCACTTCAAGGTTTTGTGGTGGTAGAAGTCTGGGTCAGTGATGATCTGATGGATTGGAAGATGGGTGGGGAAAAACTTCTTGAAGCAGCTGGTCCCTGAGCTGTGATTTAAAGAGGAGAAACTTGTGGTTTGGTTGTTGTTCCATAGATATGGAAAAAATTGAGCAAAGGCTCACAGCCAGGAGAGGAAGAACCAGTGGAAGGAACCACATGACAATAAATTTAGTTGGTGTGGAAGGTGAAGGCTAGGTTACAGTAGGAGATGAAAACAAAGAGGGCGGGTCAAGCTGGGAGAGGCTTTTGAAAGAAATACTCGGAAAATTGTGTTTGATTCAAAGTGTAATAGGAAATCAATGTAAGCTCATGAGAGGATGTGGTCAAAATGATGAACAAGGAAAACAAAAAGAGAAAAGGAGTAACTTTGGAAATTACAGTCCTACAAACACAATTTATGTACCAGTAAATATTATATAATCTATTTGAAAACAAGTAAACCATATTTGTTGAATGGGTGGAGTGAGTTGAATGCAATGGTGAGTGAACACGTGGGTATGCTGAGGGAGGTGGCTTCTAGAACCCAGGTAATAAGTGCCCATAATCAGGAGGGTGGCTTGTCAGAGACTCTCTGTGCGAATGTCAAGAGGGATAACAACAATAATGATTATATACACACATACATACATACCTATATAATATCAGGCACCAGGCAGCACTCCGATGAAACTATAATAAAACAGGTGAGGTAGATAAGTCCCTGGCCTTTAGGAAGCTTAAAATCTAGAGGCAACAATTCATACCCGTTCGACAAATTCTTGTTGAGCATTTGATACTGGCCAGGGTATGCCATGTGCTGGTGGTGGAATAAAAGATACAGTTCTCATGAAGCTTACAGTCCATCAGGATATAAACAAGTAGGCAGGTAATTAACATCAGTGTAAAGAGAGTCTCTAGGGGAAATACAGAGAGCCAGAGCTAGACAGAAGGGGCGGACTGAACATGCACAGAATGGAGTGAGTTGCGTTTCTAAAACTCAGGGGAATTACAATTATACTATTTTGATAAGCATTTTGGAGGAGGGTGGCGAGCAGGGGAGAGCTCCAAGAAGCATGCTTGAATAGCAATTATGGATCATTAAATTCCTTTCTAAAGAGATAGAGGCTGGTAATCTTCAGGGCTTTTCTTTTGCTGAACTGGAGATTCAAATCTGATGCTAGAGGGAAACTTTTCACAGGCCACAGAAGAGAAGCTAATTGCTGGCTGCCTCAGGAGCTCCCTCTCTACTCTTCCCCCACATAGTATATGGCTTCTCCTCTACACAAACATCTAAGAGAATTGATTTGAAAAGGCACTCATGGTTGGCTTGTATTTCTTGGTCTTGATTCCATTTTGCAGGGTGCTATGGGAACATGTAAGTGGGGCGCCTATCCCGTTTTGTTGGGCTGGGGAGAGGGGTAGACAGTGCTTCATGATGTCGTAGTTCAGAATGATGAAAAAAGAACTATGATCCCAGGGAGCAGCTGCCAGAGAAGACTTGGAAGGAGTTTGGTAACAAGAAACCCAGGAGAAACTACCTGATGCTTTAAATCTGTCTTAATATATGTGAATAGTGTGTCGTTCCCTCTTTATCCTGCTTATCTCTGTGGTCTCAAAATGATCTGTTAGTGCAGCTTGGGCACTCACAGAACTCTGAAGTACATAGGTGCTGTTGGTGAAGAAGTGAAAGTCAGAAAAAGTCAGAAGTCAAGCTTGTTGTTCAGAGCCTTTTGATCCAAGTAACAGAGCCCAACCAAACTATGTTATGAGCAAGGAGATTGCTCCTCTCTCATCCCTGCCCGCCTCATATCATTAAAAACTTTAGGAATGGGTGTGCAATGGACTGAATGTTTTGTTCCTTTTTTCATATATTGAAACCCTAATCTCCAGTGTGATGGTATTAGGAAGTGGGGCCTTTGGAAGGCAATTAGGTCATGAGGATGAAGCCCTCATAAATGGGATAAATGCCCATATAAGAAGAGGTGGGAAAGTGAGCTGGCCTTTTTTCTGCCATGTGAGGATACAAGGTGAAGCTGGCTGGCTGTAATCTGGAAGAGGGCCCTTACCAGAATCCAAATATGCTGGCACCCTGGTTTCAGACTTCCCAGCCTCCAGAACTGTAAGAAATAGATACGTATTGTTTCAGCCACTCAGTATATGGTCGTTTGTTATGGGAGCATGAACTGACTAAAACAAGGTGGATCCAGGGCATAAGCCATGGTGTCAGGGTTATCTTTTCCTCTCTCGTCTCTGCTTTTCTTTGTAACTCAGCTTCTTTCCCTGTTATCCTGGACAGCCTCCTTCAACCAGCTGGGGAGACGATGAACAAGAAAAATGCCAACATTTTTCATACAATTCAAGATTGTGAAGGAAACAGGATGATCATTCTCATTATGCTCAGCAGAAAAGTCTAGGGAAAATTCTGATTGGCTAATTTGATTACGTGCTCATCCCTGAACCATCATTATGGTTAAGGATAATGGAGTTCTCTGACCAAGTTTGGGTCATTTCCCACTTTGTGGACTGGAAGGTTGCATTAACTCTCCTATCCCTGAAACACACATGGTTTAGAGAAAAAGAGTGGACCTATCAAGTGGAAGATAACTGCTAATAAAATATAATTTTTTAAAAAGTAAAATCATGGGGGACTGGGTGCAGTGGCTCACTCCTCTAATCTCAGCACTTTGGCAGGCCGAGGAGGGCAGATCACCTGAGTTCAGGAGTTCGAGACCAGCGTGGTCAACATGGTGAAACCCTGTCTCTACTAATAATACAAAAGTTAGCCGGGCATGGTGGTACGTGCCTGTAATCCCAGCTAATCTGGAGGCTGAGGCACGAGAATCGCTTGAACCCAGGAGGCAGAGGTTGCAGTGAGCTGAGATCACGCCACTGTACTCCAGCGTGGGCAACAGAGTGAAACTGTGTCTCAAAAAAAGAAAAAAAAGAAAAAAAAAAGTAAAATCATGGGCCAGGTATGGTGGCTCATGCCTGTAATCCCAGCACTTTGGGAAGCTGAGGTGGGCGGATCACCGGAGGTCAGGAGTTTGAGACCAGCCTGGCTAATATGGTGAAAGCCTGTCTCTACTAAAACTACAAAAATTAGCCAGGTGTGGTGGCAGGTGCCTGTAATCCCAGCTACTCAGGAGGCTGAGAAAGGAGAATCGTTTGAACCCGGGAGGCAGAGTTTGCAGTGAGTTGAGATTGCGCCACTGCACTCCAGCCTGGGCGACAGAGCAAGACTTCGTCTAAAAAAAAAAAAAAAAAAAAGAAAAGAAAAAAAGTAAAATCATGACTGATACAGATGTGTAAATAAGCATATATAAAAGATTTATTATATTCACTAATCAACGAGAAAACCAATGTTGCAACTCGTTCAAAAAAGAAACTGATTTAGGGATATTGAAATAAATGTCCAAATGGGGGCAAAATTATTTTTTCCAGAGTGAGTGGGAAAGAAATCAATCAAACCTTTACCAAATAGGAAAAAATTACAGACAAAAATCACTTTGCATTCCTATTGGTTACCTAAAAGTCACAGAGTTGTAAATACCTCCCACAGTGTCAGAATCTGATAACCCAGAGGGGTTTCCTCTAGAGTATAGTTGCATAGTTTTCAACTGGAAGCACAAATATTTTGCCTACACCAGGCAGACAAACAACATGTGTTCACTAAACAAGGGATGTAGTATTTGAGAGAGAAATGTTTCCCCTTGTAATTCCAGGTGGCACCAGCAGAAAGCTTACCCAAATTCAGTTACCACAGGTAATGTATTGGTTCCTGGAAATAGGGTCTCCGCCTCAGTTGTCTCTGTGTTCTCTGGACCTAACACATGAGAGACATTTATTAAGTGTATGAGATGAATGTTGAATAGTGCACCTGCCATGTGGATTTCCTCTGGAGCAATAGAAAAGTGTCCCTACCTTTATGTTGCTCATACATAGCCTTGAACCATTTCTACAGCTCTTAGTTCTCAGCTAGCAGAAAAGCCCTGTAATTTTATTGCTACGAAATATATTGCATGTATGTAAAACATTAGAAACTTGGATTTGGGGATTTGTATTATAAATTACTCAAGGTTAATTTTGGTTCTACAGAGATACTATTTCTGTGGTGGCTGGCTATAGTAACACTAAACAAGCATGATGAATTGTTGCTATTATAACTACAGTAAACTACATTGTAATTACAGTAAAAAAACAGCAAACAGCAAAAGATGATAGGAACTGGGATTTGCATTAAACTACAGTCTATGTTGAATGCAAGCAAATGGAACTTACAATTCTAACGAATAAGATGTTTTTCAGGGCATCTAGTTACTCCCAACCAATGAGACACATACTTATTAGACCGTAAGCAGCTGCTGGGCCAACTCTCAAGGAAAAACATCAACTCAATAAGAAACAACGGCTAAAAATGTATAGGGAATAAGAAAAGATAAAATAAGCAATTGTGGGAATTTTTTTTTCTTTTTCTTTTTTTTTTTTGTTTTTTGTTTTTTGTTTTTTTTTTTTTGAGACAGAGTCTCACTGTCAGCAGGGCTGGAGTGCAGTGGTGAGATCTTGGCTCACTGCAACCTCTGCCTCCCGAGTTCAAGTGATTCTCCTTCCTCAGCCTCCCGAGTAGCTGGGACTACAAGCATGCACTACCACGCCCAGCTGATTTTTTTTTTTTTTTTGTATTTTTTGGTACAGGCGGGGTTTCAGCATGTTTGCCAGGCTGGTCTCAAACTTTTGACCTCAAGTGATCTATCGGCCTCAGCCTCTCAAAGTGCTGGGATTACAGGCGTGAGCCACTGCACACAGCCAGCAATTGTATTTTCAGTACAAGGTCCAGAAAGACCAGGCTGTATGTGAACTACAGGCCTCACAATCAAACTGTGGAATCAAGACTGCCTATCCTTTAACATGAACTGTTTTGAATTACTTCTCCTCCGAATTGCCTTTTAATGGTGACACCACAGCACATGTGATATCAGGAGAGAGTTAGACAAGCAGCATAGTAGTTCTCCATGGGAGCAATATAACTTAATCTGCCTTTAGGTTCACAGGGTAGCCTTCATTGCTTGGGGCAGATGAATCTGTGTGATTCTTGGAAAATGTGGGACAAGGAGACCCGTAATGAGAACTAGTCAATTTTAGGAACATGGTCTTTTACCATAGTAAAAGGTAAAAATATATTTTTCCCCCATTCGAAGAGTCAATAAAGTATATCCAGCCATTAGCCTAAGGCCTGTGTTTTCCTCTGGGCCATAAAACATATACTTAGTTGGGCATCTCTTTAAAAGATTCACTTAATGTAAAATGGAAAGACAACTTGGAGCAGGGCAGACTTCTTGACAACTGGATTGAGAGCTATGAAAATGAAAGAATAGAGAACAGATTTTTAAAAGGTAGGAAGTTTCAGACTCTCGGAGGGAAATCTGGGGAGAACTCAAGCAGCTTGAGTTGACAATGCTTTCAAAACAAGTCAAGCTAGCGCCTCTATAAGGTGGTGTCTGATCTTCACCCCCTACGCAAGCTGATTTCTTTCTAAATGGAAAGAAGCTGAAACTCAAATGAGGCCTGGCCTATTCTCCCCAGGGCGCCCTCCCATGATGAAAGGCGTTCTTCTTCCCTAATCAAGTCTATCCCAATGGAAAACTTTTCTTTCCTCTTTTCCGTGTAATTTAAAAATAAATAAGTCACCAAAAGCCAATCTAGAGATGAAAACCCATTGAAAAGAAATGTTGACACGCTTGTTACTGGCCCCTGTGTGGGCAGTGCACAGGGAGTGGGCACGCACTTCTGTTAGTTGGAGAAAGCATGAACTGCTGAAATTATTTCTGACTGCTAAATGAAGGAGGAAACCTGCTGTGCAATGTGCCAAGTGTTCACATAGAAAATCAGCATACCCCAGGGAAAGGGGGAGGGAGGGGGAGATGCCGAAAAACTGAATATTGGAGTTTTGGAGCAGGTTGAGAGGTAACAGGAGGGGAAAGATTTCATCTCTGAGGTGGTCCCATTTTAAATCTGCTTTCGCCTTCTTACAGAAAGTGGCTCTCTGTATACCTTTACACACCCGCCTGCCAGACAGCGCTTCCTCGCCTTCCTCTGCCACACTCCTTTTAAAGCAACAGCTGCCCATTCATGGGCCTGGGCAAACACCTGGGCTTCTTGGCTGTGTGTGTGTGTGTGTGTGTATGAGAGAGAGAGAGAGAGAGGGAGGGAGCAAGAGAGCATTTTAGAGCTTTGTGGAATCTAAGGTGGCAGTCAGCCTTACAAGATGCCTGGAAGGACAGAAGCTGGTAAAATGATGCCCTCACCGGGAAATAGAGGACTGAAGCAAAACAGGATTGTCTTGGACCTGTGATTGCCCTGAACTTGCCGACAACAAGACAAAAATAGTTTTGTCTAGAAGATGTTTATTCTGAACCGAGCTTTCCTGCAATATTTGTAAGCTATGGTGCACAGAGTACAAACTCTGAAGTCAGGCGAAACTTACTGTGAGTCCCATCTCTGCCACTTACAAACTTCATGAGCTTGGGCAAGTTGTCTAATCTGTCTCTGGCAAAGTTGCATCATCTGTAAAATAGAGACAAAGAATATCTTTCTCACAGGATGCTTGGAAGGATTAAATGAGATACAGTATAGTATAAATCAGATTAGAAAACAATAAATCTTTGCTCTATTATTTGTTGGCTAGGTATTATACTAACTTATTCTTTCTGACATAATAGTTATTCTAATGTTAAAAGATGTTGCTCTAAAACACAATTTCTAATTATTGAGGAAGATGACAATGAAGAATCTCTTACTATGTCATATGAAGAAAACACTATTCTCCCTAAGGAAACCTGCTAGCTTTCAGTTTCTTCCACCTATGAAGAACCATGACACATCTCTTTAATATATTCTTTAGTATTCTACATTGACTCAAGGGTTCTACTAAAACCCCTGACGAATGGAAGAAAGAGTAATGCGCATATACGGTTACCAAATTTAATGTGGCATGGTTTGTTATGGTTTTGCATTTATTTTGTAGAACATAGAACTCATCAGAGCTACTTCCCAGCAGCTTTGTAATGACAACCCAGTGAGCTGTGACCATCAATTACTTTACTCAAATGAAAGATGGATGGACTGTTTTACTCTTCAGACCCCAAAGCAATGTAGATTTGGCAGGGAGTAGTCACCGTTAAAACAATCCATTTTTTTAGAGGTGACACATTTTGTATTTATTCCAATTTGTAAATGTCTTCAAGTTTGGAGGAAAATGTAAGGAAACTCTTTGGAAGATGTTTTGGAGCTTAATTAAAATGCAACTTGAAAATGTACCCCTTATGCTTTGCACTTGTAAATATGAGCATATTAGGAACGTACACAGAGATGTGAATGTTCTCATCCTGATGTTGGGTTGGGAACTGTGTACATTAATCTTCTGTCAAAATAGCAGTGTGCCTCTTTTGCACAACTGAGCCCTGTGGGTAACTTCTGTGCGGTGTATTCATAGGAAGAAAACCTGATATTTTAAATTCTCCTCCCTTCCTCTGGGAGGTTGCTGTATACTCAACACAAACCCTTGCTTCTTGTAGTTACAGGGCTGGAAAAGTTCCCACTCAACCAGAGGCTAGAAAACAAAGGGCGCTCTGGTGAACAGTGGATAACTTAGAGCAGTTATTCTCTAAGCTTCTTGTTATCGGAATAAGAGAAGAGTGTGCCATGGGAATCTGAAATACTCAAAACTCAGATCCGTATCCTATTTCCAGCAGATTTTTGGGGTATAACTCTGCTTTTCAGTTGTTTAATACAGAAACTGAAAGAACTTTTAAATTTTGTTCAACAAATATTTATTGAGCACCTGCTATGTACTGATATTGTTAATTAGTGTTGACGGCATATATGGAATAAAACAAGGCTCCTGCCTTTAAAAGGTCACAAGCTCACTAGGGAAGTAACACTGACAACGTGAAAGGAATAGTCCTTATCTTAAGGAGTTAACCTCATGACACATGACAGTATAATTAAAGCAATACCTTTAGTCTTTGTACTCTTGGTAGCTACTGGTGTTTAACACTTTCCCTAAAATGTTCAATTGAATCTTTAGGAGTAGCTCACCATATGGCAGCATTTTGCTAACTATATGTAGAAACTTTCATAATAGTCTTGTACCTAACACCTTCTGGGTTGTGACATGAAGGGATGTGGCAAACATTTGTGCTTGGAATGTCTTTTACTCTTTATTTGAGGAAAGAGTGATGGCTCTGCTCTGCTAGGAACACTTCCTACCTGAAACTCTCAACAAAGTGAGCACTTTACACAATATGAACACTCTGTGGACATAGTTTCTGTCTACAACTGGTCCTGTTTTCCATGGGCTTTGTGGCCAAAGCAGGGAAAGTTGCAGTCAAACTGTAAGTTACTCTAATATTAAGTTCTAGATTATACTACCCAGTGACGGTGTAAGTATCCCAGAATTTCTTACAAGAGGCCACAACTTGAGTTCTTTAAGTATGTGGAGGTTATCTATCAAGCCATATTTCAGTATTTATTTGATGAATTGATCAGACAATAAAATTGAAGTAATACCTTCTTTTTCTTGTTGGGTTCATTACATAATATATTAAAGAGAGCATTTGGAATTTTAAAAAGATTGATTTGACTCCTTTTGTCCTTGTACTAAGAATAGATGATGAAAAATTAAAACTAAATTTGTAGCCATTATGGTTATAGTTATACTTTCTCCCAAGAAAATCTTCAGTTTCTTCATCTTTTTCAGATTGACACTGCCTGCATTCCAAACTAATTTTTGTAACAAGGAAGGGAGATGTCAATATTGACTTTAAATATTTTCAGGACCAATAATGTCAACACTGATTTTGGTTCATAACTTACGTAGCTCTAAATATATTAGTTGTATTATAAGCACATGCTTTAAAATGCACTTGTTTTACAGTGATGGCTATGAAAATACAGAGGAAAGGAACAGGGCCTTCATGCTTAAGTGTCACTTTCTATCTTTTGGAGGTGACCTCTATAATACCCATAAATACCAAATTTCTATCTGAATAGAATATGAGAAAGGTAGTGGTATGTTAGCAGATTAAGTTTTATTTTCTAAATGCCAGAATATTTAGTCCAACTTGCCTTTGTGTAAATTGTTACTGTTTTATAAACAGTACTTAAGTTGAAGATAAGCTATATTCACTAACAGTGTAATTTGCTAGGAGTTTGTTTACATTAAAATACTTATTATCTTAAACTACATATTTCAGTTTTTCTTTCATATAAAATGACTCTTTTACCCAAATATTTTTGCCTCCTTCATCTCCCAACTCCATCCCTTATCCTATGATTTTACTCTTTATCACTGCCAGAGGACCCAGGGTATGACTAAGGGCAATAATGGTATTAATAATGTTTTGGTAATAATTGATAACTATAAATCCCCAAGTTCCCTCTTCCTCCTTTCCTTTTCAGGGACAGGTTACTTGTGAAGCAAAACTTAAAGATGGTATACACTTAAAGGTGAATCTCATGCTTTCTTGCCTTGATAACTAAGTATTTACAAAGCTAGTGTTAGAAAAACTTATTTTTCATTTGAACAACTTATAAGGATTTGGTGCAATGCCACTTAAGATGTAGAGTTTCAAAACTGCTTCATGGAGTTTTGCTTGCATTTTATTAAGTCTTTGTGCATTGGCTTTAAAATTCTGAAGATTGCTTAGTTGTAAAACCATTTCCAACAAATTTTTAAGTGAAGCTAAGCACACGTTTCCTTATTTGCCTGCTAATGTAGGTTTAAAATTTATTTTTAAAAAATAGCCAAATAAGTCCTATTTTGAAGACTATGGAATCTAAGTGAAAGTATAAATTCAGTCTTAGAACAGTCCTCCCAGAAACATAATTCTACTCACACTCAGTTCATACTAATATCTCCTTATGTGTTTTTTCCCCTTTTCTAGCTATCTATAGGATTTTGGATCATTTCAGCATTTAGTTCTTTCATGTATATGTATGGAACAATCTACCCACTGGAGTAAAAGGCTCTTAAAGGCATTTTACTTCTTGTGCACCCCTCAAACATCTAATAGACATCTAACAGGATATGGGCACTAATAGAATACTTCCTCCATATGTGCTTGCTTGATTCATAGGTTTTTTGTTCTGTTTTTCACTAAGCTGCAGACAGCAAAGAAAACAGATCTGTAGAAGGAAATGTGTTCATGTTTCCATCTGAACATAATGGTAGGAACCACTAGGAGGATATTCAAAAGTCAAAAAATAACAGATGCTGGTGAGGTTGTGGAGAAAAAGGAACGTTTATACACTGTTGGTGGGGGTGTAAATTAGATTAGCCACTGTGGGAGAGAGTGTGGCAGTTCCTCAAAGACCTAAAGACTGAAATACCACTTGACCCAGCAATCCCATTACTGGGTATATACCCAAAGGAATACAAATTGTTCTATTACAAAGACACATGCATGCATATGTTCATTGCAGCACTATTGACAATAGCAAAGACGTGGAATCAGCCTAAATGCCCATCAATGATAGACTGGATAAAGAAAATGTGGTCCATATACACTATGGAATATTATGCGACCATAAAAAAGAATGAGATACTGTCCTTTGCAGGGACATGGATGGAGCTGGAGGCCATTATACTTAGAAACTAACACAGGAACAGAAAACCAAACACCACATGTTTTCACTTATAAGTGGGAGCTAAATGATGAGAACACATGGACACATAGAGGGGAACAATACACACTGAGGCCTATTGGATAGTGGAGGGTGGAAGGAGGGAGAGGATTAGGAAAAATAACTAATGGATACTAGGCTTAATACCTGGGTGATGAAATAATTGGTACAACAAACCCCCATGACACGTGTTTACTCTGTAACAAACCTGTGTATGTACACCTGAACTTAAAAGTTAAAAAAAAAATACAAAAGAGATTCCACATGGCATCACAACCAAGCTGTCTGCAACTAGAATTCCAGGAACTGTGATACCACAGGAAAGCAATGCTCACCTTTGAGAGCTTTTTGAGCAGTTACTTATTTCCCAAACTTGAGTCTTTCTCCTTTCTGTTAGGAACCTTAATAGGCAGTATTCTCAACTAGCTCTTTTATGCTTAATATCGTTGTTACTAGTAAGAGCAAAATCTCTTAAATTACACTTTACATTTACGGCCTTATAGTCTCTGACTGGCCTCTTTCCCTTTTTTCCAGCTCTGGCCAACCTTCTGGACTTAATGTCTTTAATCCTTTCTCCTGATTTCTTTCTGCTTCTTTTCTGCCCACTCCTGTCTGAACTTCAAATTGAATGTACTTTATAAAATGACATCTAGATAGTTCAGCCATGCTGTTGACTTGAACTGAAATATTGAACAAAATACATTTTAAGTTGTTTTTAACTAAAAGCTAATGTAGAATTTTTGGAATGTGTACCAACATAAACATACTGTGTTTAAGATTGTATTCAAATCGCTTTTTAAAAAAACATATCATGTTCCTTCTACTAAAAATCTTAAAGGATAGAATTCACTCTCTGAATCATGATGTAATTAGATTATATTTTATTAGACATTCTTTACAAATTTAAAATACTGTTATTTTTACATGCACAAAGGAAAATCAATTTGGATAATTATATTTAGGCATTCATTAAAATCAACCACAAAATAGAGACACTTCATTGTGTCATTTATCAACATACTTGATATGTATATCTAAAGTGCATTATGTTACAAAAAATATAGAAATTCAGCAGCACCAAGATACATTTACAAAATAAATACATCAATGGACAAAATAAATTATGGTAAATGTGATAATAATAATTGGATTAGCCTTGGCAAAAAAAAAATATTCACAATGACCAATGTGCAGTTTCATAGAGCAATGGGGGAGACAGTTTTATTCCAATGCATTTACAGTATTTACAGACAATAAATATTTCTAATACTTTCCATATGTTCACTATTACAGAATCCTGCAATATGTCCTTGGAAGGTCTCTGCTGAAAATTTCAATGCCTCCTGCAAAAAGAAGGAAGAGAAAGAAAAGGAGAAAACAGGTTAGTTTTCTTTACAAATGAAAACATAAAATATAAAGGATATAAGCTAAGGAATGCAAAATCACAATGGAAAGAGATTCAGGGAACTTCTTGTAAATATCTCCTGCAAGAGGTATCTGTGGGATCCACCCAGATCTCCATAACCTCTGTTACAGGCAGGGTCTTCAACCTGACTTAGCCCATATGTGCGGAAAGGAAAAGGGCCTGCGTTTCCAATCATGCTGTCAGAAAAAGGAGACTGTGGAAAAATTTTCCAAGACTGCCAGCTGGCAAGTTTGGGAAGAGAAGGGACAAATTTAAGAACTTGGAAATGAGGTTACGTTGGACCATCCATCATTAAATACAATTCACTTGGAAGTTTATTCCCCAGTGACACCTGAATTAGGCAATCCAAAGCTTGTTTATTTTGTTCAGGTGCTCATTTGGACAATCTCTCACAACATAGTGGGCTGTGGTGAGGATAGTGGAAGTGTGGACTTTGGGAACAATTGGAAGGATGTGTAGTTAAATAGAGTTGATGGTATAATGATATCCATCTTAGTTGATGATATGATATTTGGCATTTCTTTAGCTGTCTTTAAACACTAATGAATGAAACTATTATTGGATTTTGTAGTAGTTTTCAAAGCCAAAACTAAAACAGAATCATTTGTCTCTCACTCTGTTGGTTTTTGAATGGATTTTTCTGTTAGCATTGGGAAAGTCTACTGTAAATGCGGGAATAATTAAGAATAAATTAATTTAAAAGTATAAAATATCAGTATTTCATATCACCATGTCTGTTTTATTATTCTGAAGTTACTAGAAACTGACACCTTTTCTAATCTATCTAAATACTGTAATGACAGTATTTTAAGATGGGTTAGCGGAGTTTTCTTTGCTTTTCTGTCTCCCTTTCTCTTCTCTTTGTGTGGTCTATGTATTTGTTCCCAAGGAAACAACTACAGAATGGAATTTGATTGGCTATGTCATTGAATTAACAGTCAGAGTTGTGGCAGAGTTTTACATGGCAGACATATATGGGTGTAAGACCTACAAAGCAGCATATTCTTAACAATTTTGGGGTTTTCTATGCTGCTTACAGAAAAAGCAAATTGAACATTTAAAAGTGTTTTAATGTCTTAGGTTATTGATCTCTTCACCAATGGTTTTGGTGGGAATGTTAAAATCGCTCCAACTGCAAAGAAAAGAAGAGTTTAAGATTAAAATTTTAATTGGTGGATGGATGTGGATAGATGATATGAATAAAGCCAAAAAGATGACCTCAAAACTCAATAATCTGCATTCTTTACTGATTTTTAAATGTGTTTGTACTAAATGGTATTTTGTGAATTGAGTATAAGAATAACACAAAGAGGGAAGGAAGAGGATTTTTAACAATTATTTCCTCAGAAAGAAAGAAAAAGAAGTAAGTTAAAGGACCAAGGAGAAATCTTCTATGTATCTCACCCTGCTCAGATGTTTGCTCATTCTCCTTTCTTTTGATTTCTCCTTTAACAGAGGCATGTATTGGAATAGCCAAGTAAAACACCTAACAGGATCTAAAAGTGTATGTGTATGTTTACTATATGTGTGTGCATATGACAGCATTTTACAGTCCTAGCTCTTTTTACTATGGACTTTTAATATTTTTATAAATCAGTATTTTCCAAGGCAAAAATGATATGATTTCTAACAAATGAGTCCCACTGTATCTGGATATCACATTTGAAGCATTGAAAATTCTAAAATATAATTCCTCCAATTTAAAGCTATATATTTTTCACTGAATGGTTCATGTGAGAGGAAAATAGACAATTTTACCTCAGTTGTTTTTTCTAAAAGAATGCTGTATTATTGGCCGGTGTGGTGGTTCATGCCTGTAATCCCAGCACTTTGGGGCAGGTGGATCACCTGAGGTCAGGAGTTCGAGACCAGCCTGGCCAACATGGCGAAACCCCATCTCTACTAAAAATACAAAAATTAGCCAGGCATGGTGGCGGGTGCCTGCAATCCCAGCTACTCAGGAAGTTGAGGCAGGAGAATCTCTTGAACCCAGGAGGCGGAGGTTGCAGTGAGCCGAGATTACACCATCTCACTCCAGCCTGGGCAACAGAGCAAGACTCTGTCTCAAAAAAAAAAAAAAAAAAAGAATATTGTTTTTCAAACTATTGTATGTATTATAATCAAGTTCATGCTTGCCATATCATCAGATCTCTTGGTTCACCATGTAACAATGCAAAAAGACTAAGGAGGGGACGTTAATAAAAGACTTATCACTTATAAAACTTTAGGTATTCTGAAAAGATTTTATCTGGATTACAAAACTTGCATGGCCCCATACATTCTCATCAATACACTCCTAAGCTTCCTCACTCTTCCCTGAACCTCTGTTGGATTGTGTTGGGAGAGTGCCAACATTTGGCTGCCAAACAGTTCTTTCCATGAATGTCCCTCACAAACAGGGAAGAGAAAGGAAAAGCAGAAACCTCCTATTTCTTTCAGCCCTAGGTCTGGATTTGATTAGGCCACTGTCTAATTTTCACTAGACCTACTTTAACTTAGGGGTAGTTCCAGGCGTAAGAATTGACGAGTGTTAATTTTCATCAATTCTCCAGATACTTAAAGAACATTGCAAATTTGAAATAAATAAAATCCATCAAAAGTTATTTATACCTCTTTTTATAACTCATATATATACGTATATATATATACGTATATATATATATATATATACGTATATATATACTTTTTGCCTCATAGAAACATATCCCCCTAGATAGATAGATAGATATAAATAGATAGATGATAGGTAGAGGATACAATCAGAACTAGGTCTAAAAACACCAAAATAATATGTTGCAATTTATTGAATGTTTACTATATACATATATGTTTATATATATATGTTTATATATATGACATGTTTATATATATGAGACAATGGATAAAAATAGGTTTTGGCAATAAAGTAGGGTCCTTACATTAGTTATAAATATATACAGTTAGGATCCTATCTTAAAACACACTAAATATGTGCAGTAAGCCAGAATTTATAGGGTTTGTTACCCTTTAGAGATCCATTAGATGTTTGCAGGATAGGTCATTCACTGTGCTCAAGATTTTTCTAGTGCCACTGCCCATTGATTACTGAAGCTGTACTACTTATCCCATATGATTGCTATTTTATGTGCTATTTAATGATGGGTTTGCCAGCTTAAAGAGACAAATAATGGTGAATAGGTTCAAGGTCCCCTTTGAAGCATCATCCTATAATCCTATCTGTAGCAGAGTCAAAGGAAATGACTAAAGAAGTAACAGGGGACTCTTAAATAATGAGATCATTAGTTGCATATGATGTGTTCTTCTGTTGTTTTCCTTTTTTTTTTTCAAACCCCACAGAAGTGCTGTACTGAAAAGTGAAAAGAAAAAAAAATCATTTCAATGGAAATGCATCGATAAAGAAGCAGGGCAAACATAGCACTGTCTACGTGTCAGAAAACAGGGAGATAAATCCAGCTTTGGGGCCACCTATTTCAATTCCAAGGACTACTCAGGTCTTTTAGCCGTGGAATGCCTTGGCTTTCTATTTTATAAAATGGGATTAATATTTGCCCCACTTTTTGCCTCATAGAAACATACCCCCCTAGATAGATAGATAGATAGATAGATAGATAGAAATAGATTATAGATAGGTAGATGGTACAATCAGAACTAGTTCCAAAAACACCAAAATAATATGTTGCAATTTATTGAGTGTTTACTATATGACAGATATTTAGTCCACATATAATCTCATTTAGTTGACACCAAACTCTATGAGGTTGGTACAATTATATTTCACAGAAGATGTAAGTGAGTCTTAGAAAGGCAGAGTAACTTGCCCTAGGTTGTGAACTTAAATAAATTCAGACCCAAGACTTGGCCCTAAGTTATTTGATCCCAAAGTCTAGGAGTGTCATTATTACCTCAATCTGTGAGCTAAGGATAAACAAGCCACATAAATGTGAAGTTTTATTTTTCCTACGGCATTACCCTAGAAAAATTATTTCATCTTGCCAATGAACAAAAAGATACATGAGAAAAACCTATATCCTTGTAAGTTAATACTTAAACATTTTCAGAAACCATTTATTTTGTATGAGCTGGTAGAAACCAGAGTTAAATTTAATTAAACAAATTTAAGGCATGTGTTTAAAACATAATTTAAGTTCTTTACATTAAAATAAATTTGAGATTTAATTAAATACATTTAATTAAATAAAAAGTGTGAATGGCTCAGAATCGTTTATGACATGATGCTGTTCTGCAGTGTTTGTAGATAATATCAAATGCTTCTATATTCTCCCTTGAAGTGAAAGAACGTAAGAAATGAAAAACACTGAAGAAAGTTTGCCCAGGTGTGAGAGTAAGGGGAAGAAACACACTTCTCCAGCAAATTATGAAGATGGTCACTAGCTTCTGAAGCTTGAATATGAAATTATTTGGTAGAGTGGTAAAGGATTGATGTTGGGTGACGGTGGAGAAAGAGGAATGGGCTCTAGCGCCTCTCTATGGTGCTGGAGGACAGGGGTGTGTGTGGTAGGGGGGTACTGCTTTAAGGCAGACAATATTCTGAGTTATTCTCTGTCAATTGCTACACAATCGATAGAGATACATAAAGGGAGAAAATTCTAGGTTTGTCCAAGCCAAGGCAGAAGGGAGGCTCCAAAACCCAGCTGAGAGCACCCCGCTGAGGCTACGGGCCAGAGAAGCCTGTTACCGTGAATCGAGCTCCAGCGACGTTGTGGAGGTGTCAGACAGGTGGTCCCCTTCTAGCCCACTCCCAGTCACTCCAGAGTCTAACCAGGCAGAGCGAGTTCGCCGTTTTTTCTTTTCCTGCTCCTTGCGTTTCCCGGGCTTGCCTTTCTTTTTCTTCCCAGGTGTCTTGAGCGGCTGCTCTTTGTACGTCTCCACCTTGTTAGTTTCCTGAGTTAGGTATCTGCCCTCATCATCAGACCCAAATCGGACGGGGTGGTTCTTTGTGTTGGGAGAGGGCTTGGAGTTAGGGGACACCTCCGAGGTAGCTCTGATTTCAGCTGTGTGGATTTCTGCGATCAGATGGTGAAGGAAGAATCGTCGCCGTAAATCTTGGATGGACTTCCCCTTGTCATGGAGGAGCTGATGTTCAGACACAGCTCTTTTGCTTTGAAAGAAAATATTAGAGGGGAAGAAAACAGTTAAATTTTAGTTGCTGATAGAGACAACAAAGACATGAGTAAATCTCTTTAGTTTTCTAGTTGGTCCACCGTAAGACACAAGCTGGATGGGTAGCAAGCTCATTGCGCAGGGAAGGGTAACCAGTGGGAAGGAAAGAGCTGGCAGTTGGAAGGCTCCAGCTCATGGTCCCAGTTCTACCACTCACTAGGTTGTGACCTTGGTGGGAACATGAACATTCTTGGGCCTCATGGGCTTCAACTGTATAAAAGGAAGGGGTCAGAGACAGTGATTTCTATACTTCCTTCCCGGTTTAAAACATATGATTCAGTTATGATCAGAAATAGACAGAAACCACGGAGTATCTCTTCACATTTTTCAGAGTTCTGCTGAGAAAATAAATCTAGAAGTCCCAGCCTGGGAAATAAAAGGCAGCTGCTTTTACCTGAGTATTCTCTCTCTCTCTCTCTCTCTCTCTCTCTCTCTCCTCTCTCTCTCTCACACACACACACACACGCCCCATTAAGAAAATAATAATATTGAAACAGCAAGCCGTAAGAGTAAAAACAAACAAAGGCTGAAGGAGAAGTGAGCAGTGTAGCCTGTCTAGGAAACCATCTGATTCACAGACTGAACTTTAACATTTTAGACTACTGGCTACCAAGAACATACATTTGAAGGCCAATCGTCAGAGAGAGAGAGAGAGAGAGAGAGAAAGAGAGGGAGAGTATGTGTATTTTTCTGTAAAGTAGTGGGTGGTCTCCTTAAAATGGGTTTCTTTGTGTGCTTAAATGAGCTCATTCTATTTCTTCTGTGCTTCATGTTTTTTTTTTAAATTTAGAACTTCAGAGAGTATGATCCTTACTACTTAGTTGAGAAGTTCACTTTTCTACTTGCTCTCTTTGTCTTAAAATTCTCTAGGAAAAAATATAAAGGATTTTTCTATTTAAATGACACTCTAATGAAAATATCGTGAGAAAGAATAAACTAATTCTCTATCAATCCTTTTAGATAACACCCAAACTCTTGCTTAAATGTCCATTGTGTATTCTTTTATTATTTTGTGTATATTATTAACCATATTTACGGACTGCATCTGTTAATCAGTCATATCATGCCTGCTTCAACTCTGCATTAACTCCAATTTCTACCATTGGAATAGTCCTCCAAACTGGCCCATCCTCAAAAGCATCTCAAAGTGTTTCCCAGGGCTACATCCCATGTACTCTTACTTCCCTGAAACAATGGTGTCTGGGTCCTTTGTTGCCTTTGTTGGTGCAATGTCTTTAACTCCTCAGAGAAATATGGCAATCATAAATAGCATTATTACTGCCCCCATTGTATTCATGGGGAAAGTGAGGTGCAGAGAGGTTAAATGACTTGCCCTAGTCTACACAATGAGAACTGGCAGAGCCAGGGCTCCAAAAACTAGGTCTTCTGATTCTAAAGCCAAGACTGCTTTTTCAATTTCCTCAACGCTTTCTCCTGCCTAAGCGGAAGCTGAAGCTGAAGTCCCAGCCTGTTCCTGTGTTGAGGCAACACGGTAAGGAGAGTACAGGGTATATGCATGGGGCATAGAGTAACAAGCCACCACAATAATAGGCAGATTGGACAGAAATTTATCAGTTTCCTTGAAGATCAAGCCTATTGCCCAGAAAGTTCATTTTCATCATCAAATTTAGGAACTACAAGAGTTTGGATTATCACTGGATGAATGAGTCAAAGAAAAGAGTAAGAGATGAAAATACAGTCATCATTTCTCTGGCCCTTCTAGCTAGAATGTCAGCTACCTTCTAGTATTTTAGTGTGTGGACTGACTTGAAGCCATGTAGCTCATTCAAAAAAGACATGACTTAATGGAAAGGAATTTAACAGGAGCCTGGTTTAAATGAGGCATGAAGGAGTCTCTCTTTCTTTTAGAAGGTGCCACATGTGACTAGATTAAAATTCACTTACTCTGCGGTAATAGTTAGTATTCTGGAAACTTTTAAGAATCTACAAGTTTGAGGCTTTGGTACAAGGTATTTATATCCTTTAATAACATTTATAAAATAATAGGACAGATATAATTGCATATTTCATAAGCACTACAGTTTAATAAGTATCTTTTAGCAAAATGTCACATTAAAAAGCAGTTCTTAACCACTGATAATTTATAGTATTGGGGGCTTTTATTTCTTTCTCTGTTCCTGGCAGAAGCCCTCGTCTTCTGTATTGCTCTCCAAATGGATAAAGTGTAGCCCATTTTAGCTTAACTTGAGGCCAAAACTTTTAATGGTTGGTCTATTCTAATTAAGCCACCATTGCTCATATGCCCCTTCTCATGGGCATATGTGCTTGTCATCTTGGCCAGCCTGTCAACTGTGAGTCACAGTGCCTTCCTAACTCAAGCTGCATTTTCCCAGGATAGTTCTCTTGGGAAATGCAGTGATCATTCCATCCTTCTAATTTATAAAAAGCCTACAATATGGCACAGCTTTGTTCAATTTAAAATAGTACATTGCTTACGAGGGACAAAGCTTTTCATCTGCCTTTTGGGGGAAACTGTTAGTATCTTGGAAAACACAAGTTTTCTTAAATGCTAAATTGGAAATGCTGTTAGACACTTTACTTAGTATTTCAAAAACTTCTGCAATTAAAGTATTGTGAAGAATGAATCTCTCACTAGGCAGTTGCATTAGAGGATCAGGAATATAATGGCATCAGTATAAACTAGGTATACAGAGGTAGTGAGTAATAAATTCAAATTAAGGACGTTTTCAATTTAGATAACTCTGAAATATTTAAGTTGTAAATATGGCCTCAATAATAGTCTTTTACTCAATTTGTCTGTAAACATTACATAGCACTATGGTTCACATGACACTTACATACCTAAGCTCCAAAATGGAAAAACAGGTAGGTTATGTATCATGTTCTCCTTTGATTATTGTAAAAAAAAATTGCAAAATTTTGGGGAAATGCTTATCATAGATAACCCTAAATTCAGCCCAAACATAGTTCTTCTCCTTTAAAAAAAAAATCACTCCAAGGGAGTTTTTAGGGAAGAAGCTTAGATTTCTAAGGAACTATCAAGGAACAGAGGGCATAAAAACAGTGATGGAAATTCCCTTTCCAGCACAGGAAGAAGCAGTATGCTTGTACTGATGCTAGGCTTCTAAGGACGGACTCTGTGTTTGAGAAGAAAAGTTCTGTGGTACATGCAAGAGACAGGGTTAGGGTGTTAGAGTTAAGATGACTCACCAGAAGGTCCTTCCAACCCAAATGACTCAGTAGAAAGTTATGCTTTTCATTAAATGGAATAGACCCAGTCTGGCTCCTAAGCAAATCAGCCAATGACGTTTTAGGTTTCTGAATCTGTGGAGTTCCCTCTCTAACTTAAACATAGAGATAGCCACCTGCCAGAAGCCTTGTTCATCTGCACAAGAACATCCATAGGCCTCACTTTCCAGTATCCAACTTGATCATGCTCTAGCTCCATTAATTAAAATCTTTGGGATTAACAGGTCAAAAAGACTCACAATTTGTAACTGCTTCCTTTGCATGGTTTAGGAAGTCTTATTGTTATAGTAATTTCCTCTCCCTTAAAAGTTAGCATCTAGTTAAAAAAAAAATCTATACTTCTAAAGCAGTTTCCCTAATACTTGGTGTGAAAACCGGGGAGTAATATGGTTTGATTATATGTTAAAATTTCTTTCAAGAAACTAGCTTGATTTAGCATAATGGTAGACTTATGTTTTGTCTAGCACACAAAATTTACTGTTACTTGGCAGCAAGACAAAAATAATGACTTGTTTTTAAAAACTCCATTTGGCTATGATAATTTGATGAAACATCTTCATCTACTGATGATTTCAGCCTCCATGAAAAACCATGCCTGTAATGTGATGATCTATTACCCATTAACTATGAGAATGTTTTGTGGTAGTTTTATAACCATCTGCTGAGTGTGAGTGTTTAACTACAATATTATATTTCACCCACAAACAAAACTATAACAGTCGCTGGCTGCTAAATGGTTTCTGATGTGTGTTTTGTAAGGTGCAACAAAGAAAGAGTTAAAAATAGCCTTTAGGACAACTTAGCAGTATTTTTATGCCATAGTTGTGTATATAATCGTGAATCATTTGCTGTTTCTCAAAAGAGAAAACAGGTATTTCTTAAGCAACTTTAAAGAAAAAATTGGCTCTGTTCCAAGGTAGTATTTCTTAGCCAAATAAATATAGTATTTAAGTGTGCTTTTAAAAATTCAGTCTTCATTTCTATTTATGTATGAATTTCAAATTATTGAATTTAAGACAAGTTTCAAAATGAGCAAAAAGTCTGAAGACAATTTTCAGAAACACATCGGTAAAATGTTGATCTGAAGAATACAATGCAGCCTTATCTTCGGTATAATGTTCTACACAATTTGCCTTAGGAGATTCATAATAGATTTTCATTTTGATGCCAAGGTTCCGACATGTCTAAAGTAATTTCAT
This sequence comes from Homo sapiens, assembly GCF_000001405.40. Classification (NCBI taxonomy): domain Eukaryota; kingdom Metazoa; phylum Chordata; class Mammalia; order Primates; family Hominidae; genus Homo; species Homo sapiens. The sequence continues at coordinate 27,968,263 of NC_000012.12, forward strand.
TTAAGGATTTTCTCCTCTAATAATAATAGACCACAAGCACGTATAAAACAGTTGCCTTTTTGTACACCCTCGGGAATTTACAAGGAAGCACCATAAACCTGACTGTAAATATTAGATACTGCTATTTTTATTGTTAGTGTAAAAATTTGCCTTAATTCCTTCTCCAGAGTCAAACGCATCTCAGTTCTCGAACTTTATAGTTTTCCCATTCTGAACACTGAGTCTGCAGTTTAAAGATCACCCAACTATGGTGTTATACACATTAGTGAACTGCTAGGTCCAACAGATTATTAAGATCATGTTACTCTATCACTCTTCCAAGTTTTCAGTCACACGACATAGTGATATTTCTCTGGTGTGCTTGGATGTATGATTATTTCAAAGTTGAAGTTATCATTAAAAGAATCACCAAGTGAGAATGCCAAAATACAAGTTTTCAGTCTACAATGCAAATATTTGACTCCAGATTAAAGAACTGTTAGCAATAACTCCAAGAAAAAAAAGGTTCCACACCTAAAATTCATTTTGGAATCAAGCGCTCTAGCGTTCCTGAACTGTATCAATACTAACATTGGAGTCGTGCCACTGCAAAGTTGTTGCTACTTTATTATATAATACGCTTTTATTATGTAATGTGTTCCTATTTTATATGCTTAAAATTATGTCATTCATAATAAAATTAGATGTACGGCTTTTGCTTTTTCACACGCAAACCGCCACCCACATTCAGTATGTATACAAGCGCGCAGGCCATACGTCCCCAGGACCGCTCAGCTTCCTCCGAGTTTCAGAAGCTTCCCGGGTCCTGACAGTAACCACCACCCCCCAACTTTTTTTCTTTTCCACTAGAGGCAGAGGATCTTTCCCTAGAAGAGATTCTGTGAAACGCTCCCTCTTATGGAAACACACATAAAGTCTCTCTCTTGCCTGTCTCCCGTTGAAGATCAACCAGTTCTCCTGCCAGGTTTGAGGACCCGGGCTCAGGCCCCGGCAGGTATCCGGGATGGTCCCTCTCCCTAACCCGGGCAAGGAGCATCGGTGACCGCTGCAAGCCCTCGGCAGCATCCCAGCTTGGCAGCCCCTCCCCCTGGCCTCCCCAACCCGGCGCCCTGGGGAGGATGGGGCACTTACAGGCGGCGGCTGAGACCCTCCACCGAGCGCCCGCAGGAGGGCACCGCGTAGCTCAGCAGGAACACCGCGACGCTCCACTGCTGAACCAGTCTCCGCTGCATCGTCTCCGCTCGCGCTCGGGACCTGCAACAGAAGGGAATGGGACCCGAGTGTCAGTCTGGACTCTCCATCTCCCCGCACTACTCCGCTCCCCCTTTTTAGCCCGCTCTCAAAAAGCCTCTTCAACATCAAGGGCATCTCCCAAGTTGAAAAGAAAAAAAATTTCTCTGGAGCCTCTCAGCACTTACTTATTTAGCAACCGGCTACTCCAACTGTGCTTTCTCCAAACCACACAGCCAGAAAGAGCAAAAAGGGAAAAAAGAAACAAATCAGAGGCGCTTCCTCTGAAATAATAGCGAAAATAAAATGGTTTTATATATGCATCAATGATAAGTAGTGTGTTTACACGTCTCCCATAGCAATGTCTAATTAATCTGGCCAGCAGTTCTCCTGGGTTCGTGGAACAGGGCTAACCGCCTCCTAAAAGAAGAAAGTTTCCCCCTCTGAAGTCAGCTTCTTTGCGAACCAGGCCCTTTCGTTCCAGAGCCACTTGTAGCGAAACCCACATATATATACATAGCTGTCTGTCTACCTCCTCTGGTGGGCTGGTTGCTTCCGGAAAGTTGATTCCACACACCCTGAGAACAAGTTTCAAGTGCGTGTGTCGTCGATCAGGAGGGCCAGGTGGCGGCGAGGGCGGGTCGTTAGTGGCAGCCGGAGCGGCAGGGAGGCGGCAGCCCCGCTTCACGGGCGGGGAGACATGCTGGCCGGGCGGCGCAGGTTGGAGGCGAGTTGAAAACCGAGCGGAGGAATGTTCACACGCTCCGAGGCAAACCTGCCGGAGAAGTGAGCTAGTCGCAAAGAGGTGGCGCCCTAGGAACGCGCGCGGGGCGAGCGAGGGCGCAGGCGGGCTGGCGGGCGGGCGCGCGGGGGGCGGGGGCGGCGACGGGCGGCCCGAACGGGCCCCGCGCCGCCCGAGCGAGTGGAGGGGAGCCCCGAGCCGGGAATGAGCGGCGAGCGGCGGAGCTCCCCCCTCCCGCGCTGCCGACCCCGGAGCTGTCAGGAGCTCTGCCGAGCCCCACCCCGGAGCCCGGGCCCTGTCGCGCCATCCCCGTGCCGGGGGCGTGGGCGCATCCGCTTGCTCCCTCCAGGCCCGGCCGGCTCCTGCCGGCGCGGCGGATCCGGGAGCCGAGATCCCCGAGGGCGTGCGGACTGCCCCGGGCAGCCGGCGGTCCCCGGCGCGCCGAGCTGGACGAGCGGGCGCCAAGACCACCAGGGGCGGACCGACGAGGAGGAGGCCAAGGAGCTGGGCCGGGGACCGCGGGCAACCGGGAGCCTGCGCGGAGAGGACGCGGGCTGTTGGCCTGTGAATTTAAGGAGCCCGAAGCTCGCCTGGCAGCTCGGGGCGATGCATGAGAACCTTCCTCCCTGGCCCATTCCCGGGATGAACTGAGTGGGGAGCATCGGCTAGAGAGAGGGAGATCTTTTGCTTAGAAGAACAAAAACAGTTCCAGATTTCATATCTAAATTGCACTTTTTGCTGTTTCAGAACTGCTGGGAGACATCTGGAGCCGGTCCCAAAAAACCCGCGCACAGGAGAGATCCCCCTTTTGAATTGCAGAGGGGGACCGACACTCCTGGAGCACGCACACGGCCCTTTTCACTCATGGTCGGGAGTCTAACCCATCCTTTCTCTGATACCCTACCTGCTTGTCCCCTCCCCCTCAAAAGTCCCAGGTTACAGATTCTTGGAAGACTGTATCCGAGTCGCTGCAGCCAGCGGACAGATGCAGTGGAACTATGGTTATGTGCTGCTCTGCCTGGGAGAAGCGACGGGAAAGCCGAGGTTCTTTCCAAAGCTAATGGGCGGGGAAGAAAGACTGCTCGGAATTACTGGGTAGTATCATCTAGGAAAGGATTGCAGCGGGAGTGGATACCCTCCCCAGGGCTCCTCTAACTTTTTGAAAAGAGCGCGAGTGGACTGGGAACCATTCAAGGGATATTTGTCTTCTAGGCAATCCTGCTGGTAGGGTTCATTAGTTTCTAGAAGGCTAGTGTGATTTAGATTCTTGAGATGATTCAAGGAATGTGGCCTTTATCAAGCCCGACTTTCCGGGTGATGCTCCACATATTTTACCCAGGGTGGGAGAAATAGCACGCTGTCACCGAGACCCTCGCTCATCGGGGCTCCCACTGGTTCACTGCAGCTAGCTAGCAGTTAAAGTTTACTGCTTAGGTTGGGTGGGGGGGCATATTTTCTTAGAAGCTCCTGCCTTCCTCAGTTCATTACTGTAAACCCCGTACCTTAAAAGACTCGGCTTCTTCTCACTAACAAAGAAAAAAAGCAAAACAAAACCAAAACACACACACGCACACACACACACTCTCTCTCTGGGAATTTCCACAACTTCCCTTGAATGTGTAAGGATTTCTAAATGTTAGACTTGTTTGGATAGTATGAAAGGACAAAGTATCAGCACTCAGAAATGTCAACCTTTGAACCTCGAACACTTTCTGATTTATAAAAAGAATCCTTCCAAAAAGATGCAGGAGCCCTAATGTAATCGTTAGATCTGAAGGGGGAAATCTGTAAAAAAAAAAAAAAAAAAAAAAAAAAAGTCAATCACAAATGAGCCATTTAATACTTGCAAGTTGTTTAACATTGAAATGATAATATTTGCTTCCACAATAAAAAGTCCAAGGTACCTAGCCAAGTTTCAAACTATCCAGGCTTTAAAAAGTCAACCCTTCTCCCAATAGAAGGTTAAAACAAAAATCAGATTGAAATTATCAAATCACTTATGTTGTAAATAAATTCACTTTACTTTCAGAACATTATAAATTAAGGACTGGCATCAATAGACTGCTTTGATTTATGTTGCTTTTTCTACTAATTAAACAAAATTAACCCCCCACTCCTTCCCTCCTTTCTTTTTCCCCACACACTTTTCTGGTGTTAATGGCAAAACATCTATCAAATATTTTTAGAATTTCCTCTCCTCCACAAAAAGAGAAAATATAGACACAGGAAAAATAAATAGTCTTTATATACTCGGAATACCAAAGTTCCCTCCTAATTTATTACTTCACCTTTTCCTTGATTTACAATCTTCTCTCTGCTCTTCTGGCTGAAAGAGGGAAATCTTCTCAGCAGTCTTTTCCAGAAATATTTTTTGTTGTTCTTCAGAAAACATAAAATTAAATCTTAAAATGAATTAAAAGCTTCTTGAAAGGAGACTTCTGTTCCCACTAAAGGCAATTATTAGAAAGCAGGTACCTCTTCCAAGCTGCCCTGTTTATTACTTTCCGTAGAAATTCTCCTCAATATATACCCAGGACCCTGACTTTTTGCCTGTTTTGGAAAGGATATTTTCTGACATCATAATCTAGTTCCTAACATAACTGAGTAATCTCCATCATAATAATGCAGAGGATGCATGACTGCAAATGAGACACAGCAAGAGCACCCCCTACCACCTCCCTCCCCCCCCCGTCCCCCCAGCCCACACACACACCTTTTTTCTAAGGTTTAGAAATAGAACAAGTGCCAATAGAAGCTAAATGTTTGCTTAGGCCTTGCTGTCATGTAAATGCACCTTAGCAAATGGGAAGGCCTGCCTCTAATCTGAAGTATTTCCATGTTTAGCATTATAAGATCTACACCTACACAAATGCCTAGCCCATGAGCACCAGGCTTCCATCTTCCCATCCCCAGTGGCAGTTTATTACAGTATATCAAATTTTAAAAGAGGTTGAAAAAATTTTAAATGCATTACTCTTAAATTCAGTTGAATACCCAGTTAATGTATATCTCCTGTCATAGCTTAGAAAAAAGTAAATAGCATTTATGCTTAGCCTCTTCATCCTTCTTTCTTCTTTCCTCCTTAACCCAAACAGCAAACAGATATACATTATAAACCAAATATGAATCTATAGCACTTTAAACAGTGCACCTGGGCTTGGGAATTCTCTTATTACCAATAAGCATCCAGATTTCACATTTACCAATCTGTAGCTGCAAGCTATGTCTCTAAAATCCCCTGGAACCAAACAACTAAACTCATCCCATCTCTTCTCCAAACTTTTTTCAATGTTTACAAAGAGACGTTGCATAATCAGCTCAAGTAATGCTCTCATTGGATTCCATTAGAATGTGGCTCTCATCGCTCGCCTGGACTGAGACTTGAGAGGAGGCTGTTGCCAGCTGACCTCAAGGTAGCAAAAAAGAAAAAAAGATGTAATGCCTTCAAACCCCAAGTAACAATAGGAAAGGGTGTGTTTCTTTATTAAATCTTTTTGTAGTTAGGTGAGGATAAGACTTCTCCAGGAACAGGGCGGGCTGCTAACCTCTGGAGGAACTGCCTCAGGGAGGAGTGTATAGATATGCATCAAGCTGATGGGATCCTCCCATGGGAAAAGTGGGCCTCACACCCTTCCTCACCCTTCCCTACTTCCTGGGCAATGTTCTGCTTCCCCCAAACTGAAGCAGGAGGCCCAGAGAGGAGGCGGTTTCCTGGGAGGAACCCAAACCAATGTGAGATGAGAAGGTCTTTAGGAAATGGGGGTCTCTGAGAACCGGTTCTTAAAGGTCAAGCACTTGAGCACCTCGCAAACTCCTGACAATTGAAACATATCTGAAGAGTCTTCTTCAGATATGTCTCTGTGTGTGTGTGTGTGTGTGTGTGTGTGTGTGTGTGAGAGAGAGAGAGAGAGAGAGAGAGAGAGAATATGAATGTGCAGTGTCCCAGTCCTGATCTCCTGGACTGGTGCCAGCCAGCCAGATGCCTGCCCTTGGCTGGCCAAGTTTTTGGCTCCTGAAAGTAGGCAGCTCTGGACTTGTACGAGGCCACAGAGAGAGTTCCAAGCCCCACCTGGCTCAGGCGACAACCTCTCAACCTGAAGTCAATCTCCGGTGGCATCACAGGGCCCTCCTGGCAGCAGCCCAGTTCCCCACATGAACCGAATGGTCCTTTCTTAAATTTTGAGCCGGGGGCTGCCTAAAAGGGGCTGCCCCCGCAAGCATTTTACCTCCCTAACACCATTCTCTGCCCGTGCCACGCTGGCCTCGAAGTCCCTTCCCAGGGCAGCACCCGGACTGAGATGTCTAAACTCTCCGGCAGGAAGGATACCTATCCAGACACCCGCACTGGATGTCCTGTCTGTTTGGCTTTGAGCTGGTCATTACGGTGTCTTTGGATCCTGCCTAACTTTTCTGTAATTTTTATCAGAAATAAGGCTTCAGGAGAGCAAACGTTGAGTTATGCGCTCCTTCTCTGGAGTCTCCTGCCCTGGTGTTTGCGCTCCCACTGCAGCAAGGGAGGCCTGAGTCTCTTAGGGCAGGGGTCCAGGGTCTTGGGAGAGGCCTTAGGGCAAGGGGGATGATCTTTTTCAGCCTCCCCTCCCCTCCTCCCACCCAGCGTCCTCATCCCCACCGCCTGCGATAGACTTGGGTCGCCCATTAGGAAGCTGATCCGCAGGGACGGGGCAGGCTTGGCTCCTGGGGATCTTAGGCTCCATGGGAACTTCGGGGGTCTCGGGGCCCGTGAGCGGATCTAGCTACTACTTCCCCTAGGTTCTCCTCGGGCTTCAGTCCCTAAGAGTCTGGACTCCGGACTGCCGCACAGAATCCTTCTTGCCCGGAGCGGTATTATTGAGGTCTTTGCGTTCTGCCCCGCCCTGTCCCGCCGGCTTGGGTGCTTGGTTTCTAACCCGAGTATACTCGGAGTCTCTGGTCCTGCGCGCCCCCCTCCTCCCGGGAGAGCCCCGTATCTGGCTGCGGGTAAGGGAAAACTTCGGGAACCCCGAGACCCAAGGACAGGGTCGGAGGGAGCGCGCGAACTTCCTCTGAGCAGGGCTCTTCCTCCCCTCCCCTCTCCCTCCAGGTCAATTTATGACTCAAACATGAGATAAGCCCTAGGCAGACGGTGACGCTGACTTCCCCGTGGGGGCGCGGGGAGAGAAGGATGAGGCAGACGTACCCCCTCCCTGGCCTGGCCCTGTCCGGGGCCGCGTCGGGGTGTGGAGGGGCGACTCCCTTCCTCCGGGAGCCCCGACTCGCTCTCTCCCAGCGCGCCTCCCCTGCGCCCGTAAAGCTCGGCCCTGCCGGAGCCCCGGGACCCGTCTGTTTTATTTCACTTAAAGCGATCTGCAAAGTCAAGGCCGGGTGAGGTGCGGCGCGGGAGAGGAGAGGATATGAACGGACGTGGAACGAAGTTCTGTCTGCCAACTCCCTCCGTCTGATTCTTGGAATCCGGTGGCATCTTAAAGGACGGAATTGAGGGCAAGGAGAAGATTATTAATCCCCGAAGCCCGCTCTGTCTATATATAACTGCTCAGTGGTTACAGTTGGCGATCGCAGGGTGGGGGTTGGGGGTGTAGACCGTGGGCCATGGAACACGTGGCATCTCTCCAGGGCATAAAAATCAATCTAGCTGGTGGCTCCTATGGAGTTTGTAAATTGCGCAGAGCTGGCTGGGGGAAGCCAGTGAGCTGTCCATGGTGGTTAAGGCTCGTTGATGTGCGTCCTCGGGCTGTCCTGGTGAGGCACAGACCCCCCTACCCCAGGGGCCGCAACGCCCCAGAGCCCCAGCCTGCCAGCGATCCAGCCGGTGTGCGCCCGACACGAGGCTGGACGTGTGTTTGCACAACTCCAGGACGCGCTCTTGCACAGAGGCCGAATTCCAGAGATAGACGGAAAAATCTCCCGATTCCAAATTGTGGGTTTCCTTTTAGTTCCTTCCTGAACGTGTCTTTCCCCACTCAGGCAACGTTTCACATGCTTTAAGAAACGTCCATCCATTTTAGTAGCCTCTCTCCTTTTCCTTTGCTAAGGTTCTGTTCTCTAAAGAGAGAGAAGCAAGTTGATGATCTTGTTAGGCTTCTGTTTGTTAAAAGCATCCACCAGCATTTGCACCATGTGGGATGTCCCCAACACCTGCTTTCATTGAGTGGGGAAACTGCTGCCAGGAGATTGTCCGGTATCTCAGGAAAATTGGACAGTTTCTTCTCTAGGAGTGGTGAAGCCCTTTGTAGCATATTGTTCAGTGGGGCGACTTCATTAATCACCATTGTCCTGAGCAGTGTGTCTGATCGCCACTCCTAGCAAAGGAGAAAACAAATGCTATGGGAGTTTCCTTGTAGGTACAGTTTTGCCCAGTTCTTGTGACATATTCTTATGAAAAAACATTTACAAAGGTAAGCTTCTATACATGTTTAAGGCAATTAAATTATCTCCACATTTTACTTTTTTGTCTCTTAATTTATCCTGGCAATTTTCTCCTTACTTAACTTGGATAGAGATCTCATCTTCAACTGAATAACGAATTACCTCAAATACTACAAAAGACTGCAAAATATTATAAACATTTATAACTCATTTGTATTACACACCTTTATTTATGGGAATATATTTAATAAACATCCAACACATAAGAGAATCTTTTACTTATTTCTGTACAAGATATCAGATTGCTGCTTTTACCCTTCCTTCTAATTGTGGTGTGGCAAATTAACAAAAGGGTGTGTGTGGGCGTACTTATAAATAACTTTTAGAATATTTGACATTCAATAGAAAATATTAGGATTCAATAATTTTTAATAGCTTTTTTCCTCTCTCAGCTTCTGGGTCTAAGTATAAACATTGTCCGTGGGGAAAATGAAATATTTCTATAAATTCTTCTAAATGTTTTCCCAAGTCAATAAAATCGATATAATGTATTTTACTTTCCTTCTCTCTATTTACAAAAATTAAGGAAATAAGATTTGAATGTGTACCCAGGTTTTGAAAAGCAAGAAATAAACCATCATCGTAATATTGTATTATTATTTTGAAATGTGGGAGTTTAGTTTTGTTCCGTGACTCTTTGGTAGCTGGCCTTCTGTGCATCTCTTAGACCTCCTTTCTATGAAAGAAAAGAATATATAGTAATATAAATAGATTTCATTCTCTTATACTTTATCTGCTTGTACAACTTAGGGTGCTTTTTTGTTTTGTTTTTACCCTCTCTGTGGCTTCACATTTTCCTGTCTCCCATAGTGATACTGATTGAGAGTTTTCCCTTTAAAGTTCAATCTAATTTTCTTCAGTTTCCTTATTGTTTTTTAAAAGAAAGTTTTCTCCAACAGCTTCTTATTAGATTTTAAAGATCTCATTATTTGATCAATTAAATTCATCACATTTGTTAGGGAGAAAGCATTCTACCAGTTGTTCTGTTGAAGATGCTAGACCTTTTCCCCCCTTGCTTTTAAAAGGAAAGCATTCAACTGGTGGAACTGATCATGAGCTAAAACCCAAACAAACAAATAAGCACCTCATGAGTCTCTTGTTTGTGTTGTGATCACTTTCCCCATGTGCCCAACACTGCTGTGAGCCCAGAGCAGGTCCTCCAAAGAGATCTGTGGAATCAAATTGAATTGCAGTTCTCCTCACTTTTGAGAGATGAAAGTATATTTTTAATTATTTTAGACGTCTTTTCCAAAATCCATATACAAAGCTTTTTGATCTGTTGCTGGAAAACTTTGCTAGAGCATATTAAAAAAAAAAAAAGCCATGGTAGATTTGGGGGGCATCCCGGGTCCCTTTCAGCCTCAAAAACATCTCCATGTGCTGAATGCATGGTATTATAAGCTTTCCTGAAGCTATTTCTCTCCTCACTTCATTTGTGCTTCTCTTCCCAGGGACAGGTAAATAAGGGGGCGTGGGGAATGAACGTGGACTCTTGCTGCATCATGATATATTGAGATCAATTATTATGTGGGAGTACTTTATGCTTAAAAAAATTTCAACTGACCTTAGCACAATTCTGTTGCACTTTGCTCTTTTACTTTCCATCCTGCTAAGCTGTTAATTACACAGAGAATTGCCAAGGTGCTTCTAATGGTTAAAAAAAGGAAGCCGCTTTTTGTGGAAAGGATAAAAAAAGGTTTTTGTCCTGTAAACACAGGTCACATTCTTTGTAAAGCTGTTCTTAATAGGCAAAAAAGTACATGTCTGTAACAGTTAAATTACTCTTTAAAAGACCTATGATGGCCTTAAATGGAGCAGGAGCTCCAGTGTGGTTGATATGGTTCCAAAAAACCCACGTCTTAAAAAAAGTTTCATTGTCGAGGTGCACCAGGGTGTACTTTCAGATCTATAATACACAGTCTGGCCATCACAACCGCATTATTTCCCTCATCTCATTCCAACCCTGGTGTGGTAAAACCAAAGAGACACAGGATCAAGGAAAGTTTGAGGATATGCAGGGAAAGGGCTGTGTAAGTATAGTGAGTACAGATTTTTAAGATCTTCCCCAGACTTCTAAACAGTTGAGAAGGTAGCTTGTTTGCTAAGTAGTGCAAAGTGTCTCCAGGTCTATCGCTGGAACTGCTGACATAATTAATGATTTCATTCGGAGCCTGAAAGAAGGTACTTGTATTCCCTCTGGCATGGGCAGGCCAAGTTCATGTCCAAACTCTAATACTTTGGGTTGATTTTAGCTAACAAGACTGTTGGTCCTCTTGTTGCACACCCAGAACATGAAAGCCAAATATTATATTAGGCCTTGATACTTCCCAGCCTTGAGGAGGTTGACACATCCTAAATATATAAACAGCCACTATTATCTAAAGATGGATTATGTTTGGCTGGGAGAGTCATTACTCCTAGGTCAAACTGAGAAAACTAAAAACCATAGAACACCCTACCTCACCAAACACATAGCAAACTACTTAAAAATCATTATTTTCCACTCAAACCTTACATGCAAAAATTTTCTTGTCCCATCTCATACTATGAGGTTAATGGCAATCCTTGAAAATTAATTATGTACTGAAAAGACTTCAATAATATTTCTGCTAAAAATAAACTGGAGGCAGATTAGTGCCCTGGATTCATGATTGCTTACATCTGGTTTCTATTTCTGTGAGTTTCATTTGGTTCTCAGAGAGTTCATTCACAGTCATCACAAGTCCAGTTTCCTGTTCTCCAATGGGAGAGCTTGTCTTGATGACCCATATATTTTTTCATATGAATGCTGCTTTTTTTTTTTTTTTTTTTTTTTTTACATTAGGAGATATGGAAAGGGAGAATGAAAAATACATCAGGTCTAATCCAGCCAAACTAAAACCTGAACAACATTTTTCAGCACCTGGCTTATCCAGAATCCAATGGCAAATAACAATGAAGAAATCACTCCATGTTAGACCCTTATAAAATGAGGTAGGAAAGAAAAGAGAAAATAGAAGAAAGGAGAGGAAGGGAAGATGGAAGGAAGGGAGGGTAGGGGAAGAATGGAAAAAGGAATGATTTAAAGGAAGGGCTTCTTGCTGAGAAGAATGCCCATACTTGTCCCATCATATTTCCCATTACCCGTAAGACATGGGCAAGTGTTTTTCTTTCTTACCATGTTAACATTAAGACTTTTCTCAAAAAAGAAATCGAGTTGTACTGGCTGCTCATTGAACACAATCTCTTGAATTTCTTCAAACACTTAGGGTTGAAGAGGCAGAATGTCATACAAGCCTTACTTAGTTCCTGCTGATCTGGCTTACGTAGACCAGCATGACTCTAGCTTATAAGCCATCCTGTGTAACATCATTTTTCACCATCTAGAACTTCTCAATTGTTCTCCTCTGTGTAAGTAACACCTTACCCCCTTTTTGAGATGATGATTCTATCTAAAGATCCTGTCTAGATGATACTTCAAATCTCATGTAGCCTGTTTTTCACCCCATCATATGATTTTCCTACATTTTCTTCCTGCTGATAGCTCAAAAACCAAGCCTCCAAAATATCCCAGATGTTATCTACATTCAACAGCAATAATTCCAAATATTATTGAGCTCATGTACCTGGCACTCTGATGACTTGAAAATAGTATTATTTCATTTACAACATATTGCTGCCTTGATTTTTTCTAACTAGGTTAAATAATTACTAGAACTGAGACTGGGATTCAGTTTTGCCTGACACTACATTGCCTCTTTAGTATGATGCACATCCATGGATTGTTAGCCTTGATTTGGCTGATGTGACCGGCTAGGCAACTGGTATCTTCTCTCACCCACCTGTGTGGATTCCTGAAAGCTGTGCACTCAGATGAAGAAATTGATAAGAGCCATTATTTCATCAAGGGTTATTGAGATGCTGAACTCCTCTGGTGGGAAGCACACCATAGGATGCTTTAACTCTACAAAGCAAAAAAAAAAGAACATCCTCTCTTCTGCTAATTACACGGTCTTACTACCATGCTATAGAAATAATCTAAGGATCAACTTTATCTGAGGGTGTTATGTCAACATTTATTGACAGTCTACTTTATATTAAGTTCTATTCTTGGAACTTTAAAGAAAGCCACACGCATTGGACTATTATTACTCTAGTGCCCATAGAAGTACTTTATTGGGTCAGGTTTTTTTTTCCTTTTCTTCTAAAATCACATTTGGACCTGCCCATCTCAGCAATAGCATACTTTTTAAAAGGTCATGTGAAAATATGTACATATCCTTTGATAAACTGCTATCAAATAAACTTTCACTTAAGCTATTGATTACCTACTATGTTCAAGCCCTCTATTAAAATACAAAAGAAAAGCCATATGCCAGGACTATATTTCTTCTTTTATTGCTTGGGCCACATTCTTTACCTTTTATTTGTAAATTACTTCAAACCTGTTTTAAAAGTAAGCAAGTACAAAAAGAAAACGTGGCATGGAATTGAGATACACAGTCAGGGCTATTTACAGAGCCCATAAACTGTGTTCATTAGTTCATTCAGTCACTCAACAAATTTTTTTTGAAATATTTGAATGCATATGAGCCCAGCACTGTATTAGGTTCTGGGATTACACTGATATAAAATTTGCAGTCTATTCAGAACTGCAAATTTTTAAATTCTTGTTTATTAAATATTTGACAATTTTTTAAATTAGAAATCTTTGAATTTTGTCATACTAAGTATTTCACTTGGTTTATTGTCTGTCTCTTCCCATTGGAATAAACGCTAATTTTGTGAGGGTTAAGATTTTTGTCTGTTTATCTCTAGCACTTAGAACAATACTTGGCACATGGTAGGAAATCAAAAAATATTTCAAAGAATAAAAGAATGAATGAAGGTTGAAAGGCGCAAATACTTTTCCTCTACATACGTATATTGGCACACTAACAAATATACATATTTCTTTGATAAGACAGATTTCTCCCCTGAGTTGGCAATTTTCTTAATGATCACTACATACTTTTTATATCAATAAACTAAAGGATTACTGGTATATGAAACTAATGTCAGGTTAAACATGATTACCTTTTGAAAATCCTATGTGATAAGTTAGACTTGCCCAGAAATAAATTGTTTTTAGCCACAATAATATTTTTATTATAAAGGCAAGCCTTATTTTCATTCCTATATTCATTTATTTTACCTCCCAAACTATAACACAATTAAAATAGTCTCTAAGATCTGATCATGTAGCCAAAGTGGATAATGTTATTTTACCACACCCAAGTAAAGATTCCTGCTAGTAGGAAAGACTGGTTATTGTCCTTTAGATGGTATCATCATAGCTGAATCATGAATCAACGAAAGCTTTTGTATGTTGAACTTGTATTTTTTTCCTACACTAAGTTAAATACATTTTCTTGTCATGGCAGATGAGTTGGACAGAATAGTGTCTGTCATACCTGAGTCAGTTCCCCACTCCTTTCCCTGACTGCCACATTCAACTCTATAATAAAGCCTAGGAATGCATTTTCAGTAATTTTTTAAAACCACATTTTCCCCTCAGATGACCTATGATAGCTGTGATTAAGCACTACATTTTCCTTACAATCACTCTGAACAATTCCCTTTCAGTTCACCATGGCGTTATGAGCTTGATATATTTGCTATGTTGGTTCAGAAGAATGCAGAATTGTGTTAAAAACCAAAAAAATCAGATTTACAAACCCCATCTCTTATAATTCTACATATTAAATTTTCAGTGGGGTTTCAGACCTCTGTGAATGTGTGAGACCTTATTATTGAGTTTTTTCCTATCCCATCAAGAAGGGCTAGTTACATACCCCAGTAGATAAAACCTCAAATGCAAGCAACATTGCATTGTTTGTTAGAAACACATCATTGGATAGGACTTGGAAATCATAGTTGCTGTCTTGTTCTTGGCAGGAAGACTGTTTGAATGGAGCCTAACTCAGGCTCTAATAGAAGTTGCTGGAAGAATAAAAGTGGGCAACGTTTCTGGCAGAATGCCAAGGGTAGTGGAAACTACTTTCATCTTATAAACTGGAGATAATAGAGCAGAATGACCTTAAGGGGTGCTTTTAAAAGGGACATCAGACCACCCTATGCTTAACGAGGTATCACACTTTTGATTTAGAGGATGATTCAAATAATTAGGGCTTCAGTGCATGTATAAATAATGAAAATCAGGGGAAAATTGAGTGCTTTAACAACTTCAGGAGACTATTCCTTGTTGTCACTCAGCCAACCATCAGCACATTGTACATTCCAAGTCCCCTTGGGAATATTGCCCATTCATTAGATTCTTCCAGTTGCTCCTCAAAGAAACGTTATCATTATGTTCTACTGAACCAAAGAAAAACAGATTGTAAGGCAAAGCCACAGGCTTTATATCAAGAAGAAACACCTGAATTGCAACCTGTTGGCTTCCAATTTTCGCTGAGTTTGTTTAGGAACTGAGGACTATATTTATCTTTTGTCTTGAATATATATTGGCAATGTGGGCTGTGGAAAGAGTGAGTCAAGAAGCTAGATTTTAGTTTTGGCTCTTCCTTTTACCAGCTGGTTTTATAAACTCAGAAAAGGCACAAAACGTCTTAGAGTCTGACTTTATTCACATTTAAGATGGGAATAGCATTAGTGTACACTCCATCGGGCTGTCATAAGAATCAAATGAAGTAATACAGGTAAAGTTGCTTTATAAGCTAGAAAGCCCTATTGAAATATTTAGTTCAGTGCATATATTATATTTAACCATTATTCTAGGTAGAAATACATAGATCTTGATTTAAATTGCTCCCTTCTCAAACACTTTTACGCTGCTGTTGGAAATGTAAATTAGTACAACCACTTTGAAAAATAGTAGAGAGATGCCTTAAAGAACTAAAAGTAGATGTACCATTCGATCCAGCAATCCCACTACTGGGTATCTACCCAGATGAAAAGAAATCATTGTATGAAAAAGACACATGCACACACAGTTTTGTAGCAGCATTATTCTCAGTTGCAAAGATATGAAATTAACCTAAGTGCCCATTGACCAACAAGTGGATAAAGAAAATGAGGTATATGTAAAACATGGAATACTACTCAGCCATAAAAAGAGATGAAATCATGTCTTTTGCAGCAACTTGGATGGAGCTGGAGGCCATTATTCTAAGTGAAGTAACTCAGGAATGAAAAACCAAATATCGTATGTTTTCACTTATAAGTGGGAGCTAAGCTATGAGGACGTAAAGGCATAGAATGACATAATGGACTTTGGGGACTTGGGGGGAAAGGATGGAAGATGGGTGAGGGATAAAAGACTACATATGAGGTACAGCGTACACTTCTTGGGTGATGGATGCACTCAAATCTGAGAAATCATCACTAAAGAACATATCGATGTAACAAAAAACCACCTGTACCCCCAAAACTATTGAAATTAAAAAAATTACTTCTCAGACATTCAGATTAGCATTTTGTAACACATTGGGACAATTAGACAATGAAAATGACCTTAAGACTGAAGATTTTTGTCTGGCTTTTTACTCTCTCAATATTTTCCTTCTTTTACCTGAAAAATGTTAGTATTGTATAAATCAGTTCAGGAAATACCATCTTACCTGATTCCCAGCATGAATACCATATTGAATATCTTTTAATAAAGGGTAGCGAATTGATTTGTAACAGGGTTTTGAAAATAGCTGCTATTATCTAAGCATCTTTGTTTGGACAGCAATTTCAGCTGTGGCTATTACAATCCCTGTGGCATCCCATGAGTCAGCAATGTTCAGTTTTGGGGAGAGTCAGTTTGACCCTTTGGGTAACCATGGTATCTAAGGACTTCTCAGACATAACAAACTTCGAGGCTGGGGTCAGAATAGAGAGATAAGAATTAACAGTGGAGGAATCAGAACCAAAGGGCATGAGTCAGGATAGTCAGCAAATACACTGTGTCATAGGAAAGGGGGAAAAAACCCAAAGCTCTTAACTGGGGAGATTAAATAAGGCAACAGGATAGCAGAAAGAAAGAGGAGAAATATCAAATCATATAGAGACTTTCATTTAAAGTTACTATTTGTATGTACATCTGTCTGAACATATTGAAGTTTTGATATACCCTACCAAAGGATTTTTCAGCCTACTAATTCTTAGAAATGAGGTCCCATCTAGGTGGGAGAAGCTGAAAGGACATGGATTGGTAAGATCTGATCAAGGTCTGAATTTTTCCAAATAATGCTTGTCTGCCTTAGGGACTGTAATTTTTTTCCCACTGCAGCCAACTCCATGGCTATAAACAGCAGAAATTCCATCCTGAAAGTTTCTGTATCTGGGTGATATTTGGAATTGGAATTGTGGAGAGGAGAGTATCTTAAAGTCCAAGGATCTTTGCTAATGCACACAGGCCTACCTAGCTTGGAGCCTTAATTCTCACTGTCATGAAGATTTATGTTAGGCCTGGAAAGAATTAATGAGATTAATAATTCAGCTTATCATTTATTTACTGAACTGAATTCTATAGGCTATATAAATATGAAAAAGACACTGTCTTTTCTTTCCCTTGAAGGGTTTACAGACTTGTGTGTGTGGGAATTAGGCTTATATAAAATAATGACGGCCTCCTTTTTTACTCCTCAGAGTAAAATCAAATATTTATGGGAGGAGTAAATTGAATACAAAATGCAATCATATGCAGTGTTATTTCTCCAGTAAGAAAGAAAAGATAAGTAAAACCTTCAGCTCCTTTTAATGGCACCGGGCTTCCAACAGAGAAGCAAATAGCCCAATGTGCCACAGCGCAGTAATACTTATTCCTAAAGAGGGGGCATAGCTCTGTTAATATGAGTATTCTTTTATCAATAATGATTAGAATGGACCATCCCTAAGAGAAGTTCATATTTTAGAGAGATTACCTACTTAGCAGATACCGTTGGTTACCTCACATCTTTTCTGGCACATCTTTCTTCCTTCCTAATAGGACCCTGATTTTGCTCAGGCATTCCCCACTTCTCCATGTGATGATATTCTTTGGGGTGGGCAGGCCCCAGCTCCAACTTTCAGCCCTGGCAATTCCAGAGTCCTGGCTGGTTTAAACCGATTATGGTGGTCCTAACCCCTTACCAGTGATTTGTTAAGCATAGGTATGTGATCTAACTCTGTTCAATACAATCTTGGCTGGAGAAGTGCTGAGGGATTCTGGGAAGAGTTTCTTTGCTCCTCAGAGAAACATAGAGCGTCCGCTCTTCCTCCTGTAGACACTGTTGTACCAGATATGACGCCTGGATTTGTGGCAGCCATCTTGCTCTCTGCCTGAGTACGAAGCTAACATTCAGAGGAAGGATGAGCCTGGAGGATCTTAGAGAAGCAGAGTTTTGACTTCATTTATGTGATGCCTGGTGATTGACTTACCTATGAAATTTTGTCATGAGAGATAATAAATGTTATAAATATTAAGCCACTTTGAGTTGAGTTTTGTTATTTGTAGCTAAGACATTTCTAACAGGTGGTTACCTAGTGAGGGAACTGGAGACTCCATAGCTGTCACTGGTGTTCTGTATTTGGAGTTTAGTTGAAGAACCCACCTTCACCCTTGCTCATACCTGAAGCCCATCTTTCACCCAGAGGCCATGAAATTGAGCAGAGGTAAATGTCAAAGGTGACCTAATTGAAGTCTAGGATACGCCTTGAGTTGGAGAATTCTAACTATCACACTTTATCCAAATATCACAC
The DNA here is from genome assembly GCF_000001405.40 of Homo sapiens. NCBI lineage: Eukaryota > Metazoa > Chordata > Mammalia > Primates > Hominidae > Homo > Homo sapiens. The sequence continues at coordinate 27,986,363 of NC_000012.12, forward strand.
TTTATCCCATGGAACTAGTGATGTTTTTCTGGAGAAAGACTTGGAGTTGGTTGGTCTGGGAGGCTTGAGAAGGTTGATGTATGCAGAAATCTGCATTTTAAAATGCCTTCCCTACTGTGACACAGTGAAAGTCCAAATTAGTCAAAATTATGTTTTTTAATCCTCCTCTCTGATAATGCTTGTTGCAATGCCTGAGTAAAGTACTTTGAATATGTATTATAGTCTTGTGTGTTAGGCCGGTAAAAACTGTAAGACAGTGGGCTAGGAGTTGAGGTTTTTCCTCAATTTCATAGTCTTTAAGGCACTACTAACTGCTTTTTTCATTGGATAGACTATGCCATATCATAGCAATGAAAGTGACCCACAAACTTGGAGTCACCAGGGAAGACAGAGCATATTTCATTTTTTTTCTAGGACACCGTTTTTCCCCCCCTAACCTATTAACCTCTCTAAAATTACGCCGCACCTCACAATTGCTGTTGGCCAAGTGGCAGTCACAAGGGAGTTGTAATTGCCTATTCACATGCACCAAAACTCATAGAATTGGCTCTAGTGGCTTGGAAGAAACTCCTAAAGATTATAGTGGAGCACTCTTAAGAAATGCTATATCACTAACTGCCTCGGCCCAACGGATGATATTGCATATGTAAACATGGACACGATTGATTCTGAGTCTGAAGGTCATTCAGAAAAGCCAGACTCCGAATGTGAATAACTTAACCAATACATTTTATGATGAAAACTTATGTCTATATGTTTAACAGAGTTTTCCCATGAGTAAAAACATAAAAATTTCAAGTTATAAGAACATACTGGGTCAAGTGTGGTTGCTCATGCCTGTAATCTCAGCACTTTGGGAGGCCGAGGCAGGATTGCTTGAGCCTAGTAGTTTGAGACCAGCCTAGGCAGCACAGCAGGACTCCATCTCTACAAAAAAAAATTTAAAATTAGCCTAGTTTGGTGGCACGTGCTTGTAGTCCCCGCGGCTCAAGAAGCTGAGGTGAGAGGATCCCTTGAGCCCAAGAGGTCGAGGCTACAATGAGCTATGATTGTGTCACTGCACTCCAGCCTGGGTGTCAGAGCAAGACTTTGTCTCAAACAAAAAAAAAAAACCAACCAAACAAAAAAAAATCCACATTGCATCATAGCTCCATTGGCATCATTACAAAATTATTTTAGCGGTATGTGAAATAATGCTGCATCTATAGTTGATAACATCTTAGATTCAATGAAAGATGGTGACTAGAAGCTCAGACCCCATTGTCAAGCAAAAACCAGATGCTTCCTTTTTTTTTTTTTGTGAGATGGAGTTTCACTCTTTTTGGCCAGGCTGGAGTGCAATGGCGCAATATTGGCTCACTGCAACTTCCACCTCCTGGGTTCAAGCAATTCTCCTGCCTCAGCCTCCCGAGTAGCTGTGATTATACGTGCCTGCCACCAAGCCTGGCTAATTTTTTGTATTTTTAGTAGAGATGGGGTTTCACCATGTTAGCCAAGCTGGTCTTGAACTCCTGACCTTACAAGCGATCCACCCGCCTTGGCCTCCCAGAGTGCTGGGATTACAGGCGTGAGCCACCATGCCTGACAACCAAATGCTTCTTATGCCATCCTTGCCAGGAGATTCTTTCCTCTGAGCATAGTCAACTCTCCGTCGCTCTTTTTTGAATCAGTATCTCAAGTGGCTACTCCTGATTGACTAGATTCAGTCACATGACAGCTTCCTAGCTGTGAAGGAATCTGAGGATATGATTTGTAATTTCTGTGGTGGGGAGATGAGATTCATGACATGAGACTATCTCAAATTGTAGAAAGGTAGGCACACTTGAATAAAGAAATAACATATGACATGGGCTTCAAAGGTTAGGTGCCATTTTTAACTAGTAGAGATGAGTAGGGAAAATATTTTTTGTGGAAAAATTGGCATGAAGTCAGAAAAACATTGCCTATGTTTGAGGATAAGAAAGGAGTGTGACACACTAATGGGAATTGTAGGAAAGGTCTGCTGGAGCCAGACGGTGGCAGGGTTTCAGGCTTAGGAATTTCTGTATTCCAAGGGCCATATGGAACCATTAGGCGTGGGGAGTGGAAGATTCTGTGGTTGCTTTAGTCTCAGATAATCCATGGACTCCAGCATACCAAGGACTGGATTGGTTCAATGATACTCTTGGGAACTTAGAAGGGATCTGCCTTTAAACTGAGATTTTCTTTGTAAATATATTTTCTAAGGTTCTAAAAAATATATACTTAATTAGATACCTCAGCTCCTTTTTAATGAAATGCTCACACTGTGTGATTATTTTCTAAAACAGTCATTGTAGGATTTGGTATGGATGTGGACTGTATCCTTCATGCATTTCCTGACCCTTTCTTCTACCCTCTAGCAAGAGAATTTGAGGTGGTTTGAGGTTTGGAAGAAAGGTTGGAAGGCACATGCTCGAGCATGCCAGTCTTCACTAATTGAGCGAGTGTTGACATAACAATTTCTTCCTTTTCTCTTTGTTCTTTTCTCCTCTTGGCCTTCAAACCATAATTCTTATTTTATAAGTGTAAAATCTGTTAAGTGAAGTTCCACTGTGATGGGAAATGGATATAGGCAAAGGGTTATATCTAAACTTGAAAGAGCTAAATCCAGTCACTTCAATAAGGCAGAAGAGCTGGCTCATATACTCATTACCAGCTTAGCTCTCTACAAAGGCTGTGCTGGGAGAAGGAGTGAATCACAAGGTTTTTGTTATCAATAAATCAAGTGGTTGATGCTGCTATAGCTTTGTGATTTTTTTTCTGTTAGTACTTTCAAAAAACAAGCCACTGTACATAAAATGTATTATGTACATTTTATTCTTTTTAAAGTATACTGTTGATAGCAGCCACTAACTCTGAGCCTATGATATAAAAAGCTGATGCGATTAGCAGTCTCTATGCCATACACAGTGTCTTTTTGTTCTTTAGTGTTGCTGCTACTTGCAATGGCTGTTGTTATTTGTAAATTGCATCTTAGCTTTACGATCTACCTGATTGTTTTGCTTCCAGAATCACTTATTGCATCAGTTAGCTTTCGCAGTAGACAAAGCATCCAAAAAATAAGGGCTTAATACTACAACCACTTATAATTGCTCATGAACTACAAGTCAGTTTGGTGCCTCTGCTGATCTAAGCAGACGCACAAGTAGCTAGGCTCACTCATGTGCCTGTGGTCAGCTGGTGACTTAGCTGTGGACTCTGTGTGAATGAGGATGTGTCTGGTGGTTGTCTCACTGTTTGCTGGGAAGATGGAGGTGACTGGGCCACATGTCTCTCACCATCCAACAGTTTGAAAGCTATCAGGTCTGTTAAGGCCCCGGTGCAGAACTCTCATGCTGTAACTTCCTCTACATTCTGTTGGTCTCCATAAGTCATATGACCAGCCCAGATTCAAGAGGTAAGGAAATAGACTCCACCTCTTGATGGAGGAGCTGAAAAGTATTTTGGCTGTTTTCTCAATCACAATCACTTTCTCTCAAGGTAGAGTGACTGACTGGTATGCCTTCCCCTATAGTTTCCCAGTTGCAAAAATCTATGCTATGCAAAGTTGTTTCCCCTTGATTCACTTTGTTTATGATGGATTCTCTCTGGTTATAGATTGAAAATTTTGCTCTCTTTCTTTCTCCTTAAACATTCAGTAACCCAGCTACTGTGGGTAGTGAAAAGAGCACTAAAGTTTTGGTTTTATTTTGATGTGTAAAGAGGCACTGAGAGAGTTCAAATTTCATCAACTGCAAATTGAGAGGAAAAAATCTTTTAATTCAAAATCTTTTCATGATAAAAATTTTTGGTTGGGCACAGTGTCTCATGCCTGTAATTCCAGCATTTTGGGAGGCTGAGGCGGGCAGATCACTTGAGGTCAGAAGTTCAAGACCAGCCTGGCCAACATGGTGAAACCCTGTTTCTACTAAAAATAATAAAAAAAAATTAGCCAGGTGTGGTGGTGCGTGCCTGTAATCCCAGCTACTCAGGAGGTTGAGGCAGGAGAATTGCTTGAACCTAGGAGGCAGAGGCTGCAGTGAGCCAAGATCGCTCCACTGAACTCCAGCCTGGGTGACAGGGCGAGATGATGTCTAAAAAAAAAAAAACCCTTTTTCAACAAACTAAGTATAGAAGAAATTTATCTCAACATAATAAAGGCCATACGTGAAAACTCACAGCTAGCATTATACTGAAGGATGAAAAACTGAAAGCTTTTCCTCTAAGATCAGGAACTAGGCAAGGATGCCTACTCTTGCAACTCCTATTCAACATGCAACTGGAACCCCCAGCCAGAGCAATTAGGCAGGAAAAATAAATGAAAGGCATCCAAATCAGAACAAAAGCTGTAAAATTATATGTTTGCAGAGGACATGATCTTACATATAGAAAAAGACTCCACAAAACAACCCTTTTAGAACTAATAAACACATTTAGCAAAGCTTCAAGATACAAAACCAATATACAAAAATCAGTGGTGTTTCTATACACTGACAACAAACTGAAAAGAAAATTTTTAAAAATCCCATTTGCAATAGCATCAAAAATAGTAAAATATTTAGCAATAAACTTAACTAAGGAGGTTAAAAACCTGTACACTGAGCTAGAAGATACTGATGAGAGAAATTAAACACAAATAAGTGGAAAGACATCTCATGTACATGAATTGGAAGGCTTAATGTCGTTAAAATGTTCATACCCAAAGTGATCTACAGATTTAATACAGTCCCTATCAAAATCCCAATGGTACCTTTTTACAGAAATAGAAAAACAACCCTAAATTTCATATAAAACCACAAAAGATCCTGAGTAGCCAAAGCAATCTTAAGAAAGGAGAACAAAGCTGGAGGCATCACAATTCCTGATTGTAAAACATATCACAAAGCTATGGTAATTAAAACATTATGGTACCAGCATAAAGAAAGATATGTATACCAATCAAACAGATTAGGGAGCTCAGAAATAAACCCATGCATACACAGTCAACTGATCTTTGACAAGGGTTCCAAGAATACATGATGCGGAAAGGGTAGTATCTTCAATAAATGTTGTTGGGAAAACTTGATATCCATGTGCAAAAGAATGAAATTGGTCCCTTACACAATACACAAAAAACACCATATACAAAAATCAACTAAAATGGAATTAAATATTAAAGTGTGAGACCTAAAACTACTGAATAACTCCTAGAAGAAAATGTAGGAGAAAAGCTTCATGACATTGGGCTCAGCAATATTTCTTTGGTATGACACCAAAAAACACAAGCAACAAAAGCAAAAACAGACAAATGGCACTGTATCAAACTAAAAATCATCTGCATTGCAAAGGAAACAATCAAAAGAGTGAAAAGGCAACCTACAGAATGGGAGAAAAATATTTTCAAACTATACATCTGATAAGGGGTTAATATCCCTAACATATAAGGACCTCCTACAATTCAATAGCAAACCACAAATAACCCCGTGTTAATAATGGGCAGTGGATTTGAACAGACATTTCTCCGCAGAAGACAAACAAGTGGCCAAGAAACATATGTCAGGGCACTCAGCGGCACTCATCATCAGGTAAATGCAAACCAAAACCAGTGAGATATCACCTCACACCTGTTAGGATAGCTATTATAAAAATAAAAAAGATAACAAATGTTGGTGAAGACATGGAGAAATTGGAACTCTTGTGCAATATTGATGGGAATGTAAAATGGGTTCAGCCTCAATGGAAAACTGTATATAGTTTCCTCAAAAAAATTATAAATAGGACTACCATGTGATCCAGGAATTCCATTTCTGGGTATACATGCAAAATAATTATAATAAGGATCTCTTTATTTTTAATTTTTTTTTTTTGAGATGGGATTTCACTCTGTCACCCAGGCTGTGTAGTGCAGTGGCACAATCAGAGCTCACTGAAGCCTTGAACTCCTGGGTTCAAGGGATCCTCTTGCTTCAGACTCCTGAGTAACTGGGGACACAGGCACTCACCACCACACCCAGCTAACTTTTAAAACTGTTTTTGTGGAGATGAGGTCTCATTATGTTTCCCGGGCTGAATTGAACTCCTGGGCTCAAGCAATCCTCTCCCCTTGGCCTCCCAAAGTGCTGGGATTACAGGCGTGAGACACTATGTTCAGCTGAAATCAGGATCTCAAAGAGATATCTGCACCCCCATGTTCATTGCAGCGTTATTCACAATAGCCAAGATGTGGAAACAACCTAAATGTCCACTGATGGATGAATGAATAAAGAAAATGTGGTATACATACAAAATGGATACTACTCAGCCTTAAGAAGAAGAAAAACCTGCCATATGTGACAACATTAATGAACCTGGAGGATGTTAAGCTACATGCAATAAGCCAGTTACTGGCTGGATGTGGTGACTCACACCTGTGATACCGGCACTTTGGGAGGCCGAGGCGGGAGGATGGCTTGAGCCCCACGGTTTCAAGACCAGCCTGGAAAACATAGTGAGATCCCTTAAAAACAAAGCCAGCCACAATCAGACAAATACTGCATGTTTCCTCTTGTGCAAGGTATCTAAAATAGTTAAATTCATAGAAACAGAGAGTAGAATGGTGATTGCCAGGGACTGGGAGGGAAAGAAAAATGGAGAGTTGTTCAGCAGGTATATAGTTTAATTTATGCAAGATGAATACGTTTAGAGATCTTCTGTAAAACTTGGTGCCTATAGTTCGCAAGACTGTATTGTGCACTTAAAAATTTGCCAAGAGGGTAGATCTCATGTGAAGTGTTTTTATCACAATAATAAGAAAAAACCCCAAACTTTTCCCTGCCTTTTTTATAAGGTTGTGATAGGTGATGCAGTGATGGTATAATTCCCCTGACATTTTTGAAAACAGTAAGGTACAATAAAACTACTTGGTTTCTATTATTATTGCTATTTTAATACTGTTTAATACTGATGGAAAGCTTATACTTCAGAATCTTCTGGCGATGGCTGTGCCTTTGCCTTTTTAAGGATCACTCGTTGTAATTGACGAAACTATTCAGAAAGACAGTATAATGTATTTATTGCCATTATTTAATCAAACAACTATTTGCTAAGCTTCTATTGTGTATCCAGCAATGTTTTAGACACTGTGGGAAATGAAAACACTGTACTAGATGGACGTCATTCTTGTCTTAAGGCGGCTGAACAGTTTATTTAGAGAAATGAAGCTAGCATATAGAAGACTATTAGCAGGGAATGAAATAGTAATGAATCAGTAATAAGCAGGCTCAGAGCCCAGTTGGAGTTTGGAGAAGAGAAAGATCTTGGAGGTGTGAGTGTTTCACAAAATCTTCCTGGAAAAAGTGGGACCTTGAGGAGTTCAGAAGAGCTGGCTAACCAGAGAGGAGAAAGGTGATTGCAACTGCTATGGCTACCCTATGGTTTTTTAGACTCTCCCGAACTATAAGGGCTTTCTTGATTTAGTTGTCAATTATTAGAAAGTATGTGGCTTAGAAGTAGAATTCCTTCTCTGTCCTGGAAGGGAATTTCTTCCAACTTGTAAGATTTCCTTGGTACAGGCTTATTCATGACCTTGGCCCCTTTAAGAGTACAGGATGTTTCATAGGATCTTGGCAGGCAGCATTATTTCTGACAGGAGTTTATCTCTGATCCAGAAGATGATCGTCAGAAATTGACATTGTTCTACGTTTCCAGAAGCTGTACAGTTACTAAGTAGATTTACCTAGAGATGGACATCAATCAACAACTAAATTAATTGGCATCCTTTTCTCATAGTGTTTCTTTCTTTTTTCCTTCAACAGTTCCTTAACGCAGTGTTTCTCAAAGTGTGGCCTTTGGGCCACCTACACCAAAATCTACTGCATGTGCTGGTTAAAAATGTACAGGTTCCTGAAACCCATTCTAGGCCTCCTGAATCAATCCTTGAAGAGGGCTCAAGAATAAGCAATCGTGCAAACTTTCCAGATGAGGTTTTGCACACTAATGCTTAAGAATCATGTCTTAATGCTTGGTGAGCTTATAAATATTCTAATACCTGGTGTTCTCCTCCCAAACCCCTCAATGAAATAGAATCTCTGAAGTTGGGACTCAGGCATCAGTGTTTTTAAACCTTGAAGGTGATTGCCATGTGCAACTAAGGTTGACGACCACCAGCATAAGGCAGTTCTTTTCAAGATTTAATGTACATATGAACCACCTGGGGAGCTTATAAAAATATGATTCTGATTTAGGAAGTCTGAACTAGGTTTTAAATTTTGTATTTTTAATTACTTCTTAGATGATCCGGACGCTACCAGTCCATGAATCACAATTTGACTAGCAAGGGATTAGAGAAAAATACATTTAATTGCTTAATTGACCCATTCTTGATTGACACAATCTTCTGCATGGCTTATAGATGATTGAACCCAATATCATATTAACTATTTTATGGCATAGAGAAAGCTCCATCCCAAAGGATCATAGTTTCATTGACCCATCGTGAAGAGAAAAATGTTTTTAAAAGTTAAGGTTTAAATGAAAAAGTCTTCCTCAAACTGTCAGTGAGCCAATACAGGCAGGAAGTCAAGCAGGAAGACAGATTGGAGCAATTGGACAGGGTAGTTGAAAAGAAATGCAGCCTGTGTAGAGGGGTGAAAAGCAGCCAGGGTGACAGACCAAGGGGGACATCTTCCAGCAAAGGACAGGTGGAGCCTTCATGGTAGGTGAGCCAGTCAGGAATTAGGTCATGCCTGCTTCCCTATACATCCAAAGTTATGAATGGATGGATGGGTATTGAGAGGAGGATCACTTCAAATACACACACCCACACACACTTTCACACACACACTGTGATAGTGTGATAGTTAATTTTCTGGGTCAACTTGCTTAAACTATGGTGCCCAGTTGTTTGGTCAAACACCAGCCAGAATGTTGCTGTGAAGGTATCCTTAGATCTGGTTAACATCTACATCAGTAGCCATGGAGTAAAGCAAACCGCCCTCCACAATACGATGGGCCTCATCCAATTAGTTACAGGCTTACGAGCAAAAATGGAGATTTCCTGAAAAAAGAAGCAATCCTGCCTCAAGACTGCAACATAGAAACCCTTCCTGAGTTTTCATCCTGCAGATTTTTGACTCAGGACTGCAACTCAGCTCTTCCATAAATTTCAGACTTACCAGCTCCCACAATTGTGTCATCAATTCCTTAAAATAAATCTCTCTCTCTCTTGCTTCTGTCTGTCTCTGTCTCTATCTCTGTCTCTCCCTCCTCTATTGGTTCCATTTCTCTGCACAGCCCTGACTAATACACCCTCCCACAACATGCCCATAGACACACACCTACCTTTCCCTCCTCTTCCTTCTTGTTTAAAATCTTTTGCTAGCTTCCGCTAAAAATAGAGTTTCTTTCAAACTTCTTATTCTGGCCAAGAATATCTGAATCTCTAATCTGAACTCATCTCTTCTCATTGTAAACTGGCCTTCTCTCTGTACCTGAAGTGTGCCAGCTCATTCCTGCTTAAGGCCTTTGCCTTGTGGTTCCTTGTGAGGCTTTTCTCCTAGTTCATGGCAAAAGGGCCCTCTCCTTTCTTTCAGAATTGAGCCTAGATGCCATCTATTTAGTGGTGACTTCTCTGACTGCTTTATTCTATCCCATCCCAAGCAATGCATTCTCTATTAAAACATCATATCATGTTTTGTTGTCTTTATAGACCTTATGATCCGGAATTCCTATTGATTTATTACTTTACTTTTTAATTTGTGTATCTTGCCTCTCACCTCCCATATAGGCCACACGAGGGTAAAGGCCTGGTCTAGCTTGTTCACAGCTGGAAGCCCAGTACCTTGAACAGTGCCTGGTATATGTTGGTTGATCCACCAGTACTCTTGAAAGAGTGAATGGCAGTCTGTACAATCATCTGGAGGAAAGGGCTCAGAGTCTGTTGGGGGTGGTTATTTAAAATGCGAATTCCTGTATTCCAACCTCAGAATCTGTTTTGGTAGTTTTAGATTGAAAAACAAAGTCCTAAAATGTGTGTTCCTTTCTTGATTGAATTTCTTGGATAATAGCTATGGGTTGAGGACTTCTTTTAGAAAGACAATCTTTCACAGAAATAGAATATATTTCACTTGGCTTATGAGTGAAAGTGGATCTTGAGGTAGCTCTCAAACCATGACACCACATCAGATTGCACTTCTGATCTACTGAAGCAATATTTCTGGGTATTAGTTCCAGGAATCACTATTCCTTACAAGATCTCCAGGTGCCGCTGGTAAGTATCCAATTTTGTGCAGCTCCAGAGTGTGAGGGACTCATGATCAAAACTGATGGGACACAAAGCAAGCATTGATGTGACTTCTCCATATGCATATAAATAAAAGCCTGTGAATAACATACCATATCTGATAGATGTATTTTTGGGGCAAGCAACAACAAACAACAAAATCTGATTAACAGTAGATTAAACAATAGGTGCTATTTTTGCCTCTCATTACAAGAATCTTGAGTTAGGTGTTTGCTGGCATCGGTTCAGTAGCTCTGCAGAGCCCTCAAGGATCCAGGTTATTTCTCCCTTTATCTTTCACCATCCTCACACGCTTGCTTTCTTCCTCATGCTTATAACTCCATGTTTGCGTAACACTGACACAGCTTCAGGCATCACATTCACATGCAAGGCAAGATGAAGAGTCAAGGGCTCTTCTCTTTATCTAGAAAGAAAAGTCTCTCTCAGGAGCTCACTCAGAATACTTTTTGTTTTTCCTTGGCCAGCACTTGGCATTTTACACTACAGGCAAGAAAGTCTGGGGACATGAGTAGACAGCTCTCCTTCTCCAGACTCCACAGTGGGAGGTGTCCAGTGAGAAGGGGATTGGAAATGATTTTTAAGGGGCCAAGGAAGAGCATTTACCACATGTACCTGTGGTGGGAACATTGCGTAGCCCAGATAATGTCCAAGAGGGAGACATCTACCCTCTTTTGCTCCATTCAGTCTTTGCTTTTTTAGGATTATTTTTTTCTTCACCAAGAGAATTTTCCCGAAGTGACTGATTCTTACTCCCAAACTCTTCATGTACTTTTGATGGCAACAACAATTTACTATATGCCAGACATTATCTATAAGATGTGTGATATGTGTGTGTGTGTGTGTGTGTGTGTGTGTGTGTATAATCTAAGTGAAACATAACCCATATGTCCCTTAAGCTACTTAAACCTTCCTTAGATAGTCAAATGGCCTCTTCTTTTGATTTAATATATGTAGTTCAACTTGGTCTGTGTCTGGAGAATGAATTCCATTTCTGATAATTGTTAGGGGTAAGGATATTAAGTATACCATGATTAAAGGATATGAGTGTCTACTATTTTGAACCATCAGAGAACAAAGAAAATAACAAAGAGGATAAAGAATAAAAACTTTCAGACCAGGCATGGTGGCTCATTTCTAGAATCCTAGCACTTTGGGAGGCCGAGGTTGGTGGATCATTTGAGGTCAGGAGTTCAAGACCAGCCTGGCCAACATGGTGAAACCCCATCTCTACTAAAAATACAAAAAAAAAAAATTAGCTGGGTAAGGTGGCAGGCACCTGTAGTCCCAGCTACTCGGGAGGCTGAGGAGGAGAATCGCTTGAACCTGGGAGGTGGAGGTTGCAGTGAGCCGAGATTGCACCATGGCACTCCAGCCTGGGTCGCAGAGCAAGACTCTGTCTCAAGAAAAAAAAAAAAAAAGAATACAAAATTTCAAAGAAGCATGGGACCATGAGTGGCTTTGGTCTTCTAGGAGTCTTGGGCATAAGCCATTTATCTCAAATTATCTTCTGCTTCTGAATCAAAACACTCGGTCATAGGCAAATGTCCAAGTGATGAAGACAATGGTATCTGATATGGTTTGGCTGTGTTCTCACCCAAATTTCATGTTGAATTGTAATCCCCACATGTCAGGGGTGGGAGGTGATTGTATCATGAGGACAGATTTCCCTCATCCTGTTCTCATGATAGTGAGTGAGTTCTCATGAGATCTGATGGTTTAAAAGGGTGGCACTTCCCGCTCACTCTCTTTCTCCTGCTCTGCCATGGTAAGATATGCTGACTTCCCCTTCTGCCACGATTGTAAGTTTCCTGAGGCCTCCCAGTCAGGCTTCCTGTTAAGGTTGTGGAACTGTGAATTAATTAAACCTCTTTTCTTAAGAAATTACCCAGTCTTTGGTAGTTCTTTATAGCAGTGTGAAAATGGACTAATACAGTATCCATATATTTATCTCGCTAGTATCAATGGTCCTTTACTGAGATTTTTTTAGCTATTTTCTTCTAGAAAACTCATTTTCTCAGTACCTCAGTCAGTACTCTTAAAGGTGGATGTTTTGGCAACAAGAAAGAGAAACTCCATCAGAAGTACCAAGAAAAAGCTCTGAGCTCATTTTCTGTGTACTTAAGGTCAGAACTACATCAGAGCAAACACACACTGCCTATTTGAATACACAACATAAAAGAAGGGCAATCCATCATTCATTAAGTTCCCCTCAAACACACTTGCACCTGCAGATTTCCTGGAGGTTCTTTTTTTTTTCTCTTCCTTAGGGGGAGGGTCTTGAAGTACCAGGACTCTCAAGCACCTGGAGGCCAACAACTGCAGATGTCTGCCTGAAGGCAAAGATTTGATCAGGTTTATGAAACCAGCATGGTATGCCCTAAAAAAACAATGATCTACAGAGATTATAAAGCTTGAAGTGTTTTTAATCCTGAAGATATGCAAACTATATGCCTACAAAAGATTTGGGAGATTCTGCAACAAAAATATAGAATGATTTTCAAATGCATCCTATCAAGAAGTAGAATTTTGGTTGACATTAAGGGTTTTGTGTGTGATAGCACTTCATTTTATGTTGTGTGAATATAGTAAGAGAATCTATGATAATTGCAAATGTGTCTTCAGTAGAGAAGAAAAGAAGGTTCTTTATGGCCACATGTTCAGAATCTGTATTATTGTTAATAGCCCAAATTTGGACTCTGAATTTTCCCCAGAATTTAAACTATCAGGTTTTTAAAGTAAAAATATATCATTATTTACTTCAATAACATCTCTAAAAATGTCTTGGCTACCTAAAATATATCAAGATTTAGACTTAGTCAGAACTATTAAGTAAATTTCCTTTGATTAATAAATTGTTTTCCATTTAAAACAAAAGAGGAAAGCAAAACTGTTTTCTTAGAATCAGCCAAGATGTTTGTCTTAAAACCTGTTGGCTTTGCCTATCCCTAATTGTTCCTTTCTGATTCACATTAGAAGCCTATACTGTTGCTAACAAACCTGACCATTTTGGCAAATTACTACAGTTGCACTGCTCCAAGTTAGACTCTATGGTATTGTGTAAAAATTGAGCATTTAGTGGCTTAGTCACACCACAAAATTGCAAAAGTTCTTAAGTCTAGGTCAACTTGAACAAGTTTGTTCTTGATTTACATGCCACCTCCAAAAATATGTCAGGGTATTTATTTGCTTTCAGAATAGCTTGCATCTCTCTTTCAGAGGAGAGGTGAGGCAAACATAGGTTGTGATGATGAGTGATTGCCCCCACACGTGCAACTATGAGAGCGCTTTTTTGGATTTGGGTAACACCAATTTTAAATATTTAACCCTTGCGATCACTTACTATTTACCAATACCATCTTCTCAGCTTTGTTCTAAATTATTTTCTTAATTTTTTTTAAGGCCAAGAGCCAGGAGGTCAAACCTTCTGCCCCTCTGACCAGCTGCATGCAGGCAATTAGAGCAATACCACTTTTAAACACAGGTTTGAGCACTACAAGTGTAATTCTCAGACTTATCTGTATCCGAGGGTTATCCTCAAGAATCTCTTGACTCATACTCTAAGATTCTCAGAAATATTTACTGGAAAAAAAATCCAAACTCTGAGCAGCTATCACATAATCTCTTTCATCTGCTGAAGCCGCCATGTTGTTCATAGCGGTAGGGAGACACAGCAGAAAACTGGTCCATCGTTATTTATGTTATTCACTTTCAGGAGAACTAAGGCATCTCACAATGGAACAGTCCAATTCTATTTTTACTGATTTCTGAATGCTGCTTCAGACAGGTTTTTTTTTTTTTTTCTACTGCTGTTGTTAGTGCTTTCAGTTAACTTCAGAGAATGAATACATATCTATCCAACCAGTAAAGCGACATATTCAGAAAGGATCCTATTTTTGTTTAAGGGCTTGCTATATTCTTTCAGATTTATCCATAAGCTTATAATAGGACCTGGAAACACAGGCAAAGATGTGAATTGAGATGATTAAATAATGTTTTCAGGCTGTCTTTCCTCCTCTAGCTGGATTGATCGGGTGCTGTCGTTCTGTGCGTTAGAGTAAGGCTGACATTCGCTCCTGCATTGTGCCTTGTGTTGGGCAGAACTGAGACTCGTGGGTGGAGGGCAGTGGGGATGAGCTGATTGGACCACTTTTAGGCCAAGTAAGAGAGAACACATATACTTGTGTTACAGGAAAGGTGTTC